>NT_167214.1:0-161802 GCF_000001405.40 Homo sapiens
GAATTCAATACTTAAACATAAAACCTAATAAAATTCTTAGAAGTAAACATAAGGGAAAAGTTTATGACATAAGTCTTAAAACTCTTTCCTTAAGTTTGACATCAAATTCATAAGCAACAAGGAAAAGAACAACGACCAAAAAAAAGGACTACATTAAGCTTCAACTATTCTACACATCAAATAAAACATTTAGTGCCATACAAACGTCACCTAATAAGTGGGTGAAAGCTAGGCATGGTGTCTCATGCCTTTAATTCTACAACTTTAGGAGGCCAAGGCAGAACAATCACTTGAGGCCAAAAGTTTGAGACTAGCCATGAAAACATAGCAAGACCCTGTCTTGTATAGGGTTATATATATGCATACATACATACATATAACAAAAAAGAGTAAAAATATTTTCTAATCACATATTTGGTAGGTGTTAATTTTCAAAATATATAAATTCCTAAAACTCAACAACAAAAAAAGTTAATAACTTGATTTAGAATGGCACATGTTTGAAATGACTTTCTCCAAAGAAGACATAGAAATGACTAGGCATTTAAAAGGATACTCGAGAACTCTCTTCTAGAAAAATACAAAGAAAAGTCACAATAATCTATCACATCAAACTTATTTTTAAAATAGTATGAAAGCTCTTCAAAAAATTTAAAATGAGATTATTATACAATCCAGCAAACCCCATTCTGGCTATGTATTTAAAATATACAACACATGATCCGGAAGAGATATTTGCACACCCAAATTTATTGCAGCATTACTAACACAAGCCAAAAGACAGAAACAACCCAGCTGTCCCTTGACCAATGAAGAGATTAATAACAAGTGGCACATACACAAAGTCGAATATTATTCAGTCTTTAAAAAGTCACATTATATGATTATTCTTGAGAATATCACGTTAACTGAAATAAGCCAGGAACAAAGTGACAGTCTATGATTCCATTCATAATCAGGTATCTTAAGTAGACAAACTCATAGGAAAAAAAAAGTTAGAATGGTGTTAGTCAAGGACTGAAGAGATGGTAAAATGGGAAATTGTCTTAAAAGACATTTAATGTTAGTTTTGCAAGACATAGAAGTTCTACAGATCTTTTGCATAACTATGTGAATGTACTTAACGCTAATGAAATATACACTTAAAAAGAATTAAAATGGTAAATTTTACATTATGTGTTTTTACCACAATCGCAATTTTTAAAAGGAAAAATATGGACTTATAAAGCTTTCCAAAAATTAAATTTTGTTCACAAAAGATTTTCTCTCACACAAAGGAAGTATAGATTTATAATTAAACACATTGTGAAATTAAGATTATTTCAATGACTATTCATCCACACAAGATAAGACAACCACTGAAAATCAGCCAAAAAATATGGAAGATAAGCCATGAGCAAAGTTGGGGACATATTTATAGAGACAAACACATATATAATTTAATTTTGAAAACATATGACCGATTTATATTTTAATTAAACCCAACATTAGTTTCCTGAGTGAAATTTGGTTTTTAGTTTGGGCAAATGAAGAGCTTTCTGTGGTTAAAAGGATTCTTTCTTCTCCGTTTCTTCATATGGACCTGTGCTGGGGATTGGTCAGCTGTTCAAGTGCAATGCACTCAGTTTTGGTTCTGTGCCAGGATTAAACCTACGATATTTCACATTTCATATATAAACCCCGATGAAGTGTTTCTAGGAGATGGCTGCCTCATAACCTATATTTTGCCAAATGTTTACTATGAATTTCACCACCATCCTCTTGAAGGTGGTATTGTAACTAAAACTCTTCAGGACATTCTACTTAAAACTAAAATCACGTATATCTCAAGACACTCCTTTCTGATTTGAAATGCCTCTGTCATGTATTGTCTGCAATCAGCATCCTCTTTCAAAGAAAGTGGAAAGGACAGATGAGGAAACTGATAGTGTTACTGCATGGGAGACAGAGGTGAGGATACACATGGCGGATGAAAACATGGAAGTTATTTCTACAGCACGATCTTGTAAGTGTCTGACTGCTATGCTCCCTTGTATATCAAATGATGTACCTTTATTGCAAGAGAAGATAGTGCGCTGTTTACCTTGACATTGAGAGGCAATTTTGAATCTCTGTCGTGATTGCTTAGGACTGAGGATTTAATGTGCTATTTTGTGGAAATCTTAGAAGCAGTAATGGGATTTAATGATCTTAACTATCATCCATCTGAAAAATCTAACGCGATTTTAAATAAAATGGCCGGCTGCTTCCACCGTTCCCTTTTTAAACCAGGAGCTGCCGTTGCTTTTAACATTATGAAGTTGAATCTATGAATAGTTTGTACTATTAACATTTTTTTAAAAATCCACATTGACTTGAAGTGTACAGGCAGAGGTGGAAATTATAACATCCAAAGTTATAATACATAAGTAAAACCCAAAATAAAATCAACTGCTGCCCTGGAACCTATTCTAAATAATCGAGACAGTAATATGGAATTGTAAAGAAAAATAAGAAACATATTTACTCATAAAATCTTGCAAGCAAAGTTTTTTTCTTTTTTTGAGACAGAGTCTCACTCTGTCACCCAAGCTGAAGTGCAGTGGCGAGACGACGGCTCATTTCAACCTCCGCCTCCTGAGTTCAAACCATTCTCCTGCCTCAGCCTTCACTGAGATTACAAGCACCTGCTACCAGACCAGGCTACCTTGCATATAAACTTGATATATCATTTATGAAAATACTTTTTAGATAACTAAAATATTCTACTGTGACTGTGCATTCATGAAGTTCGTGTATCTTGAATCATTGGCATGCAGTGTGTGACAGTAAAATTTCACAGAAAATACACTGTAACCATTAATAAAAGGCCCTAATAAGAGAATTTTAATGCATAAGAATTGAAAAGACACCATAAATAATTTCCGTTGTATTTTTAATACACTGATGCTATTCTTACACAAAGTAAAAAGGCTGGGTAAGTTGTGGTGGCTCACATCTGTAATTCCAGCAATTTGGGAGGCCGAGGTAGCAGATTGCTTAAGCACAAGAGTTCACAACATGCCTGGGCAGGATAGGGAGACCCTGTCTCTGCAAATAATAATAAACAGCCAAGTGTGTTAATACACATTTGTGGTCCCATCTGCTCAGGAGGCTGAGACAGGAGAATTGCCTGAGCCTGAGTGGTCAAGGCTAGAGTGAGCTGTGATTATGCATTGCATTCCAGCCCAGGTGACACAGTGAGACCCTGTTTAAAGAAAAAAACAAACAAAAACTAAAAATTAACCAGGAGTAGTGGCATGCACCTGTACTCCCAGCTACTTCAGAAGCTGAAGTTAGAAAATCATTTGAGCCTGAGAGTTTGAGTCTGCAGTGAGCCATAATTGAGCTACTGAACTCCAGTCTGTGTGACAGAGCAAGGCCTTGTCATAGATAGATAGATGATAGATGATCGATAGATAGATAGATAGATGGAATACACCTGGAGAAAGAGTAAATTTTAATGTAGTGTGATGTAATTTTTAAAATAAACTTTATGTGTATCACTTAGAAATTTATAGAACAGGCCGGGGGCGGTGGCTCACGCCTCTAATCCCAGCACTCTGAGAAGACGAAGTGGGCAGATCAGGGGGCCGGATATCGAGACCAAGACCATCCTGGCTACCACGGTGAAACCCTGTCTCTACTAAAAATACAAAAAATTAGTCGGGTGTGGTGGCGGGCAACTCTAGTCCCAGCTACTCGGGAGGCTGAGGCAGGAGAATGGCGTGAAACCGGGAGGCAGAGCTTGCAGTGAGCCGAGATCGCGCCGCTGCACTCCAGCCTGGGCAACAGAGCGAGAGTCTGTCTCGAAAAAAAAAAAAGAAATTTATACAACTTAGCCAGAAGAATAAAAAACAACCTCTTAACAGTTTTTTCAAATAAAAAAAGTGAGTTTGAAGAGAAGGGAATAAAGGGGACTTTCATTTTAATGTGTTTTTATTTTTTGAGTCAGGGTCTCACTTTGTTGCCCACATGGAAGCGCAGTGGTGTGATTTCAGCTCACTGCAAACTTGGCCTCCCAGGCTCAAACAATCCTCCCACCTCAGCCTCCCTAGTAGCTGGGAATACAGGTGTACATCACCACAACTGGTTAATTTTTGTATTTTTGTAGAGAGAGGGTTTTACCATGTTGCTCACACTGGTCTTGAGCTTCTGGGCTCAAACAATTCACCTGCCTTGGGCTCCCAAAGTGCTGGGATTGAGCCACTAGGCCAACCAAGTTTTTTGTTTTGTTTTGTTTTTGAGATGAAGTCTCACTGTGTTGCCCAGGCTAGAGTGCAATGGCACGATCTTGGCTCACTGCACCATTTGCCTCCTGGGTTCAAGTGATTCTCCTGCCTCAGCCTAGTGGGTAGCTGGGATTATAGGCACCCGCCACCGAGACCAGCTAATTTTTGTATTTTTTAGCAGAGATGGGGTTCCACCATGTCAGCTAGGCTGGCCTCAAATTACTGACCTCATGATCCACCCACCTCGGCCTCACAAAGTGCTGAGATTGCAGGCATGAGTCACTGCTCCCAGAGACCAGCCAAGACTTTTACTTTATAAAGATATTTATGATGTTTTCTTTTCTTTTTACAGTATGTATTGCATTTATAATTGGAGATACAAAAAAAGGTGACTGTTACTGTTTGACAGCAAGGCAGTAGTATTATCTTCATCAATATTTGCAACTTCATTCACAGGAACCTGTAAGAGAAAGCCCAGACAAAACTTTAAGGCAAAGAAGTTACACTTGTAAAAAATGAGAGGACTATTTTTTTATAATAACAAATATTCCAGGTGAGGACTGGTCAGGATCTACCACTGCTCCATCTCACTTGATAAGTCTCATGCCTGCCAGGGTAAGAAGGAGCAGAGAGAAGGACAAATGCCACTGAGTTTCCTCTCCCACTAAGGATCTGTTTGTCAAGTTTCCTACCATCAAGTGGAAGATGTACTAAAAATAAAATGTACCCTTGCAGATGCTAGCAGAGAGGCACAAAATAGAAAAGGAGGTAAGCCCACACATTGTGGAGAAAGAGATCCAACTTAAGATTCAAAATGCACCAGAAAGCTGTGTAAAGTTAATAAAATTACTCAAAATCTTGGAACATTTGTTTCCTCACCTGTAAAATGGGGATCATGTGCCTACTTCATAAGTTGTTTTGACAGTTAAATTCACAGAGATATTTAATAGAGCCTGCTATGGCAAGTGTTCACATTAACAAAGTAGTATCAAACTTCAAAATATGGGAAAGGTATTTTGAATAATGTCTATGAGGCCAAGGACAACATGCCCAGCTTCATAATCAATCCCAGCCACATTACACTGAGGAGATCTACAGGGCAACTATATTTCTTCAACAAATTCCATTAGAGAGGAAGAGTGTGTAGTCTGAAAACATGACACAAATGTGACCAGTGTACAGTGACTTAGGTAGTCGGGGGTGGAGTCCCTACATATTCTCTGAATTGCAGTTACACAGTGAGTTCCCAGGAAACAAATGGAATAGAAAAGGTGACACAAAATATACTACCATAAATGGCGTGAGCATAGCAGGTTCACAACCACAAATGTAAGCAGGAGACTCAAATCACAAGGAGCACCTAGATCTGTGAACAGCAGCTTGTGGTGGCATCAGGTTCAACTTTCTGAGACCACCGGTGTGGGCAGTGTCTTTGCAGGCACATACTCGACAGCAGTGTATCTGAAGACAGATCTCAAGGCTCTTCTCTTCATTAATTATTAAGATGATAGATGATGGATACCCTCACGTTACAACATCCCCACTAACGCTGTGGACAAGTGAATTCAGAAACCCCCACCTAAATACACAGTGAAGAGTAGGATGAGAATACTGCAGGATAGGTTAGGAATGCAGGCATTCGACCCCATAGAGTCTATTTAAAATAAGAGAAGGGTCCTAGTATTGTGCTGTGGTCCTCCTATATATAGTTCTTTATTTTTCCAATTTCATAAAGGCCATACAGTTTTTCTTCCTTTCTTCACAAATGTGCTGATGAACCCATGAGTAATTCATCCTGAAGGGGTTAATTCCTCATAAAGTACAGTAACGTGATTCAATTGCTATGATGAGGTTTTTCAGGATTTTTTTATAGTGTCCCATACTCACCGATCACAAGTGAAATTTATAAGAACATGTAATTTGAACAAAGTATTCTTTTCACATAGAGAAATACACAGGTTTGTACAGATTAGATGCATCATCAAAGTTGGTAACATCTGGGAACAAAAGGAACTATCCTGAGGACATAAGGAACTTAGGAACGTCGATTATTAAGAGGCTACCTGCAAGTGGAACTTCTGGGTTTTCATTGTCTAGACAGAAAAATTTAACTGATAAGCCCCAGTATATTAAGGTACATCCCCAACGGCTGTGGGGGATCAACTTTCCATCCAAAGCAGAGATGTAAAACACGAATGACTTCAAATGCGGCTCAAGTGCTCTGCACCTTGAAAGTCATCCCCACAAAGCTGGAGCACCACCTGTTCCTGAGGGATGAGGTCACCAACTGCTTTTTTGAGACACTCGTCAGTCAGGACTCAGTTGAGATGAGGCTGGTGATTTCAACTGTAAAATATCTAAACCATCATCTTTAGGTAGATTCTTATGCCTGGGAATTGTGGTTTTCTCCTCTGCTGTTAGCAGATCCTGAGTAACCCAAGAAATACCCGCTCTCACCCGTCAAGTTCTATATCACAAGAAAGGCGCTGCAGACGGTGACATTTTCACGAAGGAGCCACAGCCCGCATCACCCCCTGAAAGCTCTGAAGTTGCGCACGGGTGGGTCACGCAGCAGGTGGATGTCTCAGTTCCCATAGAGTTTAGCAGAGCAGGCGGCTCCCTGGGCTGGAAGAGGTGCGATGCTCTGGAAACCCCCCGCGGGTGTGTATGTGAGAGGACACCGAGATGTTCAGCGGGCTGTTCAGTGAGGACCAGACCCCTCCGATTTGAGCAAGGGAGGTGCACTTCGCAGGGTCACACCGTCCTCATCGCCCAGCCTAGACCTGCCCCTCAAGTCCTTCTGCGGACTCCCTTGGCGAGGGGGTGGCACAGAATCAGCATGTGGCATCGCTTAGGAAAGGACGAGGTCCACACCGCCCTGTCCCTCCCTCCAGGGCTGCGCACCACGGGGGAGGACAGACAGCGCATGCTGGTTTTGTAGTTAGCAGGTCGGCGACCAATGGGCTGGAAACCGTTAAGACACCAAAACTCCCAGCACTCCTAGCTAGGGACGCGCCTCCCTATCCTTCGCTTCCATACTACACACCGCCCCCAAACCCAGCGCATGCTGAGATTGTAGTCCGTTAGCCTCGCGACCAATGGGCTGGAAATACTGAAAGGACTATGACTCCCAGGATGCCTTGCGAGGTACCCGCCGTCCCGATCCTTCCTCTAGGGCTGCGCACCGCCCCCAAGCCCAACGCATGCTGGGATTGTAGTCAGGTAATCCTGGGACCAACTGACTGGAAACTGTTAAGAGACCATAACTCCCAGCACGCCTGGCTAAGGACGCACCTCCCTATCCTTCCCTTCAGTGCTACACACCGCCTCGAAGCCCGGTGGCTGCTGGGATTTTAGTCTGCAGGCCGGGGGCCATCGCTGGAAACCATTAAGAGACCATAACTCCCAGCATCCCTGGCCAGGGACGCGCCTCTCTATCCTTCCCTCCAGCGTTACACACCGCCCCAATCCCGGTGCATGCTGGCATTGTAGTTCGGTAGCCTTGCGATCAACGTGCTGGAAACCGTTTAAGGACTATGACTCCCAGGACGCCTTGCGAGGGACCCACCCTGTTGACCCTTCCTCCAGGGCTGGGAACCTCCCTTAAGCCCAGCGCATGCTGGGATCATAGTCCGACTGCCGCGACAGAAAGGCTGTGAGTGGATCTGAGACTACAGTTCCAACACTACGGGGAAAATTTCATCTTCTCTGAGACTACAGTTCCAACACTGAGGGGATAATTTCATCTTCTCCTCCGCCCCTCCATGTTTCCAGTGCAATTCCGCCCTGCTGAGGGGAGCCTATCTGTTCCCAGACTTCTGCGTGCGAGGAGACAGCGTGGCCAGGGCAGGTGGTCTCACTTGTAATTGTGGCACAGTCTCCCCACGTGCCAGTTGTACGACTATTTGTGCCTGAAGTTTGATTTCTCTCTGACAAGACAGAACCCGGGAGCCTCCAACAGCCTGCCCAGCGTTGCCGTAACGCTTGCTCTCGGGGAGCTGGGCGCGCCCAGACCTTTGCAGGGCCCCTCCCTCAGCCCCGACCCTTCTCCTCGCCCCTCCCCTGCCACGCCCCTTTCGACATGCTGGAAAGTCATCTACCTTTAATAACAGTCATCTTTGCAAAAAAAAAAAAAAACTCTGAGAATAACCTATCTCCCATTCTATTTAGTATTTATTTCCATAGTATCCATAAATAGTAGCAATTAGATATCACAGCAAGTCAAGCAAAAGCCCTGCCTTGCCTGTTTCATAAACCACGATATGGCCTTGCTGTGGTTTTATTTGTATTTTGTTTTGTATTTATTGACCTTTTGGATATAAATATTTAGGTATTTGGACAGTTTTTGGAAGTATTCCGCTATTAGTTGTTGATTTACTTCTGTTCCCTATTTAATTTTTTTTTTGTCTCTCCCTTCTCCTTAGACTCAGTCATTCCACAGGTCTCGAGAGCTCTGTTCATTTCCTTTAAACTTTTTGTACTTTTTTTTTTCCAGACTGGATAATTTCTATTGCTGTGTCTTCTGTTTTAAATCTATGGCTAAACTCAAAAGATTTTTTTCATTTCCTTATCTATAATTTTTTTATATATATGTTCATTTCTCTGCTGAAGTTCCACATCTGTTTGTTTATGAATAGAATATTTTCTTTTTTCCCCATGAACATATTCATAAAAACTGCCTTCAAATTCTTGTCTGCTGATTGCAACATCCTGGGATAGCTTCTACTGCCTGCTTTTGATATTGTGTATGGATGACATTTTCACGTTTCTTTACAAGTCTTATGAATTTTAAAATTGTGCACTAGAAACTATAAATGATAATTATAGAATAGAAACTCTGGATTTTGCTGTTTTACCTTGAAGACTTTTGTTTTATAAACAGGGTTCACTGGGCTAGTGTCAAACCAATGCTTATGTCCGCTACAGTGGGTATAGCTGAAATCTTCATTCAGTTGTTAAACACACATATCATATATGTATTATGCATAGGCGTTTTTCTATAATAATATATTTTATTCAAGTTTCATCATTGTTATTTGTGAGAGTTCAACAAGCTAGTCCACACTTAGTGGAAGTCAGAACCTCAGTTTTATTTGATTGTAGCATTTTATATAAACAAAATTATATAGTATGTATACTTGTACATCTGTTTTCTTTATTTCCTTTTCTGTTTTCTTTCTTTCTTTCCTTTTCTGTCTTCTTTCTTTCTCTCTTTCTTTCCTTCTTTCTTTCTCTCTTCTTTTTTCTTTCTTTCTTTTCCCCAGGTTGGTGTGCAGTGGCATGATCTCACTGCAACCTCTGCCTACCAGGCTTAAGATATCCTTCCACTTCAGCCTTTTGAGTCACTGGGACCGCAGTCTTGCACCACCATGCCCGGCTAATTGTTTTGTATTTTTGGTAGAGACAGGGTTTCACTATGTTGCCCAAACTGGCATGTCTGCTTTCTTTTATGCAACATTACATTTGTGATATTCACCCACCAGTTGCAAATAGCTATAGTCTGTTCATTTTAGAAAGTAGTTTTTACCTTTTAGTAAAATATAAAAATACATGAAATTAACCATTTTATTATTTTTTTGTGTGCAGTTTAAAGAAATTAAATACATTCACATTGTTTTGCAACCATTGTCCAAGTTCATAAGGAACTGTTTTTCAATCTTTTAAAAGTGAAACTCTGTACCCAGTAAACAACACTCCCCTTCCATTGTCCTTTGTGTAGTCCCTGGAAACTACTCTTCTACTTCGTGTTTCTATGAACTTAACTGCTGTAAATATCTCATATGAGTGGAAAGAGACAATATAGCAAAAAAATCATGAGGAAGAATAATATATACTATATAACATATGTTTATCCATTTTAAGAAAAATGCTAGCAGAGATCAGGTCATGGTGATTATAGAGAAAGGTAGGTAACAGTGAAAAAGGGATTGGTTGCATTAAATTTACGACGTGATGCCTCAAGTGCCAGAGTAGTGAGCTTTCTGCCCCACTCGCAGGGCTGGTCAATGGTGTGGCTGGAACCCTACTTGAGCTGCCTGACTGCCAGAGCCCATGCTTAGTACAAACTTCAATGAGCCATGAAAGCAATTCCAACAACAGGCACTTAATGGCTCTGAGATTTTATCACAGCCTGTTCTTCATGGCTAGCAACTTCAGAGAAGAGTGACAGCTGTGAGGTTCCAGAAGCCACACCTCAGGTCCCCCAGTTCCTCCCCAGCAGCTGGAGTCCAGGTGCAACAGGACCTGATGCCGGCCAGGGAACCATGGCCACACGCTGTGTGAGGCTGGCGGCAAGACAGTCTCCCCTCCTACCCTCTGCTCATCTGCTAGGTCTTTGCCTTTTATTCTGATTGTGCTGCTCCAGGCTTGGAACAAAGCCCGAAATTCCTCTTGAGTCTGAAGATGATGATGGTTTCCAGCTGTGTGGAACTGCTGCATCTCCTGGAGGACTTTAATCTTCTGGAGACAGAGGGAAAGACAGGATGCTGACAGGGCCTGGGTGAAAGACTCTGTAGGGGCCTTATAAAAGAAGGGAGGAGGGCTGGTCTCTGAGGTGTTTCTTTTAAGGGGCTCTCACCTCCCCTCCAATATCATGCAGCCCTAACTGGTTCTCAGAGTTGAATGTAAACGGCCCTTCCTCTAGGAAGTTGTCATCAACTTCACTCCCCTGATTGCACCCTGCATTAGGATAGGTCTCCTCCTTCTCTGTGTATTACTCCCTTTCAATAAATCTTAGATGCGGAAGAAGGGACCAGGGAATGTCCTGCCCAGGGTGATTTCTCATTTCCACCTCCACCCTCCCTCAAAGTGAGGACTTCAGCTACTGCTCACCTTTCTGTTTTTCTGGGTTTTGATCACATTTCTCTGGAAGACAGAAAGCCAAAGACCATCAGAAAGGTCCGCTGGTTCATAACTAGCCTCCATTTCCAGCGATTTCCAAGCTTCACCACCACCAGAGCCACCAGGGTCAGGGAATGTGCACAAAAGAGGTCTTGCAGCTCTGCAGCTTCACTACTCAGGGAGTGGGACTGATGGCTGCTGTGGAGCCTCCATCACTCATGAGTAAAATACCCTGTATACGGGATGGGGAGGGCTGCGAGGCCCTCGCAAAAAATTTTGGCAAGGACTGAGATCTAGGAGCTCAGTTCAAGACTCTCTTCTCCCAGGCCTCAGGATCCTGGTCCCTGACCTGTCTGCTCCAGGCTCACTCACATCCACACACTCCTTCATGGCAATGTCCAGCATCACCACATCAGTGAGGAATGTCCCCAGAGAGGGCATGACTTGGGAGGTGCCCACCCAAGTCCTGTCCGCTGAACTCTTATAAACCCCTGCCTCCTGGCGCCCTCTACCTAGGTTACCCACTTGGAGTAGCTGAGAACCCTCAGCTGCCTTTTCCCAATTCTCTATGTCTTCCCATTAGCTGGCCTCTATTGCCACCAACCTCACCATAATTACCTCCTTGGTGGGATTTTAACAAGCCACAAGGTCATGTGGTCCCTGGCTCCACCTGTTTTAAAAGCCACACGGAGCCCAGCTCTCCCAGGCCTTGCTCTGGTCTGTCTAATGAAGGTGTTTTAGGCACTGCAGCCCCAGGAGAAAAGGGCTGGAGTAGAAAGGCCCTCTGCTTTTTTGATTTGGAGGTTTCCAGCTGGGAGAAGTAAGCTCTGTTCTCTGAAACCCTGGAGCCCTTCCCCATCACAGGCACATTCACCTTCTGCTGTCACAGCCTCACCTAAGCTCTCTGGGGCTCCGCTACAGGGTAGACAACTTGTACGGTGTTCACCTGCTAGGATGAGGGACAAGGTCAGTGAAAATATGCTTCTTTCAGTTACGCCTCAGCCACACTAACCTTGGACACGGATAAGTGGCCTGAGTCAGCTTGTCCAATGCTCTGACCATCTCCAGTGAGCTCTGACTCTAGACTCACTCCCAGGTCCAACACTCCCTGGATGTGTCATTTTGGGCATGCAGTCGGGTTTCCCTGAGCTGTTTCCTCAACTGGAAAGTGTGGTGGGAACCAACTACCTCACAAGGCCTCTTACCACCTCGGTTTCATGTGGTTGTCATGATTGCTGTCACCATCATCCCTCTCAGGATGAGCCAGACACAAGCACCCTCAGATTCTCTGTCTCCCTGAGCCCCATCACCACCTTGTGAGGCCTGCCCAACAGGCTCATCATTCCTAAATTTTCCACATAAGAAAACAGAGGCCCAAAGCGGCAATGACATGCCAAGGACCCCACAAGAGAGGCCAGCTCCTCCCTCAACCTGGAGGGACTGTCCCGGCTGCCTTCACCTAACACCCTAGCATCATCACTGACCAGCATTCCATCTTCTAAACTCTATGAGTGACAATATTCCCAGCCAGGCCCTGTGGCAGTGGACATGGTTCTGAGAATTGGGAATCTAATGTGGAGGAAAAGTTAAATATTTAATATGAACTCAATTGAACATGGGCACAAACAATGGTCACGAAGTCCTGGAACAGGTTGCATGAGCCCCTTGAGGTGTTCATCCAGCGCTGTTTCAGAGAAATCTTTCAATCCATTCCTATACATTAGTTATTGAAAAAACAACAGACAATTGCAAAAACAAGTTGATCTTTTGTGTTCCTTGAGCCCAGTTGTGAAGGGCACCTGTGACTGCGCCTCATGCCAAACAACACATTACAAAAAGAGCTAGGGTCCCAGACTGTGCTGAAGTTTCATGAGACCTCTCCTCATCTGTGCATGGACACGTGGCTGACTCTGGAGCCCAGGCTGTTGCTTCCCAGTCTGGTAATGAATCCTCCATAGTCTGGTGCGTGTAAATATACATATATATATTTTCTTTCTGTCCTTCCCATTGCAATTTGCTTATTATATTATTTGCTTATCAAGTCTGTATTGCCATACACTTGGGATAAAGGCTATTTATCCTTAAAACTATTGTGGGTGCCTTTTCTTTTCCCCTCGTTCATTTCCCGCACCGGAGCCCAGGTGATGGAATCTCGAAGTGACCTCACTTCCTTAGTTACAATCTCAAAGAAAGTTTAGAACTCTGGTAACCTGGAGCCCTAATTCTAGAGACAGCTTTGTATTTACTAAGGAGACTCTGAAGACAGCAAGATGTTCTCCTGCTATGTCTTGAATTTCTGAGGCTCTCATCTCAGGAAGGCTTGAACAGAGAGACTTTTTTTTATGATGGAGACAGTGCTCATTCTGCACTGCTGGCTCTTCTGGCCATTTGGAAAGGGTTACCCATAGATAACACAAGGCCACCCATGGCAGGCCTATCCAGGCCAGGCCTCACCTTTGATATCATCTCGGCAGGCACACACCCCTCCTCATCTCCACGTCTCGTGGGAAAGAAAGAGATAATGGGTCCTTTCTTGACAGGAGCAGGTTTCCAGGTATTGGGAGGCTAAAAGCCTGTCAAATTTATACCGCAGGTTACAGTTGGCAGGAGGGGAAGGTGAGTGCTGGGGGTCACCTTTGTTTGTTCAGACATTTATTCTAAGGCTTCAAGCTGTCCTCTTGTTTTCTCCCTGGCTGGAGGTCTGCGCAAATGCTCCTATGTGCCTGATCTGGGGAGTAGACTTTCTAACTGGAATTTCCCCTGTGGGGAAAGCCAGGATGCCATTGATGCCTCTTGGCCAGGCTTCCAGGCACTCTCTTTGCAGAACTCTATTGAGGAGATCCCTGAGGAGCTGTTTGATGAGTCCAACTACTCCATCTCATTGAACAAAAGGCAGGTGCATCATGCCAACAACCATGGCCCGTGCTAGTCTGGAGTCAAGGTGGGCACAGAGAGGTCTCCAAATGGAAAAGACCAGGGAAGCCCAGGACCCTGACCCAAATGTGAGGATTCCCCAGAAACCGTTTTAGGGCTTTCTCCATTAAGGACCCACAGTTCCTTCCCAGAGGAATTTGGCCTCCATTAGTCCATAATGGCAACTTAGGTGCACAGTCCCCGGTCATATGCTTGCAGGAATGTCAAAAGAAACACTTTTGTGTTGTTATTACTTTACATTAAGTTGTGAGTATCTTTGCATGTTGCTATTATTTTTATTGTTATATCTACCCACCCCACATACTTCCTGGAGCAGGCAGCTTCGCTGCCTTGCCAGACCTTCTCTAAGTCTTAGAAGTTCACACTGTTACTAGAGAGAGAGGTTTCACCCAAAAAGTGGGAGTTATGCAAAAGGGTCTTATATGACTCTTTACATATGTATCCCAGAGCCCACCTCTATAACCCCATCAGGACAGGAGCTGTGTCCTCATATGTCTTTATAAGATTCCATAAGTGGGGCCTTTCCCTCAGTAATTTAGGCTTTTAATACTGGTGGAGCCTGACACAATAAATTCTATTTCCACTTCAGCCATGCTACAGGGAATATCTTTTTTTTTTTTTTTTTTTTTTTTTTGAGACGGAGTCTCGCTCTGTCGCCCAGGTGGGAGTGCAGTGGTGCAGTCTCGGCTCACTGCACTCTGCCTCCTGGGTTCACGCCATCTTCCTGCTTCAGCCTCCTGAGTAGCTGGGACTACAGGCGCCTGTCACCACGCCCGGCTAATTTTTTTTCTCTGTGTGTGTGTGGTTTTTTTTTTAGTAGAGACAGAGTTTCACCGTGTTAGCTAGGATGGTCTCGATCTCCTGACCTCGTGATCCACTCGCCTCGGCCTCCCAAAGTGCTAGGATTACAGGTGTAAGCCACCGCGCCCAGCCGCTACAGGGAACATCTTATCTGTGTCCTAATAGGCTGTAACGCTTTGCTATGACTTCCCTAATACAGTACCACAGGCTGAAGTTCTTTAACAACAAAAACTGAATGTCGCACAATTCTGGAAGTTAGAAATCCAACCTCAAGCTACTGGCTGTGTGGTTTCTCTGAAGTCTCCATCCTTGGCTTGTAGATCGTCATCTACTATATCTGTGTTCACAAGATCTTCTCTTGTGCTTTTCTGTCCTTCCTGCCTCTTCTAATAAGGGCTCCAGTCATCTGGAATTAGGATACACCCCAATTAATTCACTTAAACCTAACTACATTTGCAGAGGCTATATGTTCAAATATAGTCATGTTCTGAGGCACTAGGTGTTAGGACATGAACATATAATTTTTAGGAAGGGAATGCAATCTAGCTCACAACATTTACTAATCCCTTGTAGATTATAGTCTCCCAGGAAAATGATTACTCAGTGAAACAGTAGGAAAGTGTAAAGGTTTAATAGGAGAAGCCGGAATATATTCCAAAAGGGTTGTGAAAGCCGTACTGTAAATAGTAGTTTCTGAATTTATCTGCTTTTATGTATCCAGAACCTCTTGGTTGTCAACATTCTTTTAATTTTTTTGTCAATCTGCTATCTATGTGGCAAAAAAACATGTTTCTATTTCAATTTTTCAACTGATATATTTGAGTTACCTTTCAGTTGATTTATACTTATTTGAGTTTTCTGTTCCCTCAGTTAATCCGCTCAATTCCTTGGCCCTGTGAGGGGTTTCTCTCACCTTGGAGTCCCCAAGCACTGACACCTTTGTCAGGTGTGGGGTTGCTGTAGTTATTTCTCAACACTCCCTTTAAGGTTTTAAAAGACCCAGTTCAGTTGCTTTAAGTCAAAAGGGTTGTCTTAGGGTATCTTATCCTGTGCCCTGTCTCTAAAACAGAAAGAAAGTGAGCCTTCCCCATGCCCTTCCCCCTAAGTCAGGGACAGACATAGAGCCTCAGGTAGCTTAAAGGGAATTTCATGCAACCCCCACCGTGGAAGATTCTCTTTCTTACTTGTGTTTTTCTGAGCAGCCATTTGACATCACAAAGCTTTATTTTCTCATTTGTAGGCTGAGTATGTTTTTTTGGGAATTCTCTGGGATAATGCTCTTCATAAAGATTATTAATACAAGTGGGTGCTGTTGTCTTACAGCTGATATGATATCGTGAAGGCCTTGAATGTATTCATGGATTAATTATTCTCTACCTCCACATTAAATTTGATATCAGAGGCCTAAAACCTTTTTCACCATAAACACCCATGTCCTCCACATGCCCAAGTCTCTGAAGGATGGAGATTTCCTCATCCAAGCTCCACATTCCAAGCCTCTGGTGTTTCATGGTCTTGCCATGAAAAGTCTTGTCCCCTCCCCAAGAGGAAATGAGTCTATTCTTAACCTAGAGGTGTGAATGATGCCAATGCGCCAAACCAGGCACAACGGAGAAGCTGACGAAGTCCCTGACAGCAGCCTTCCAGGGTCAAACTCTCTTCTTTTTATCATTTTTCTCAAGTTTTACCAGGACTTCCTCACCACTCTGTAGTTCCTGGACCAGCTGTCTAGTAGTTGAGCATATGTCTTCTCCAAGGCACAGTGGTGACTCTGCCAGCTACTAACTGTGTCTTAGCATACCAGTGCATCTTTATCAGCCTCAATTTGCATCTTTATAGAGAATTGTAAAATGAACCTCTGTTCTGTACGAGAGACATGCAAGGGGAGAAGAAAACACACCCAAAAAAACCTTTAAGGGTAAACAAGCTTTATCTGACGTAAATGGCAGTGCAGCTATAATAAGCAAATTGCAATGGGAAGGGGAGAAGGGAAACATATATACATATTTACGCCCACCAGACAGCGGAGGATTCATTACCAGACCGGGAAGCAACAGCCTCGACTCCAGAGTAGGTCACCCATCCCTGCACAGACAAGAAGAGGTCTTAGGAAGTTTCAGCGTGGCCTAGAGCCCTAGTTCTTTTTGTAATGAGTTGTTTGGCATGAGGCCCAGTCACGAGGGCTCTTCACAACTGGGCTCAAGGAACTGGAAAAGGTTATCTTGTTTTTGCAATTGTCTGTGGTTTTTCAATAACTAACACATAGGAATAGATTGAAATAGATATTTCTTCAAAACAGTGCCAGATGAATGCTTCAAGCGGCTCATGCAACCTGTCTGAGACTTAATGACCATTGCTTTTGTCCATGTTCAATTGAATTCAAATTTAATATTTAACTTTCCCCCACAACCTTATATGTTTTTTGTGAGAAATGAATGGCATACAATATGAAAAGTGGTTTCCTAATGCTCGGCTTTGTGGAAAGCCTGCTGGGGCATGCTCTGATTGTTCGTATTTATTACTTTTTTCTCTTCTTTCACCCCAGAAGGTCTTTCATGTCACAGTGACTCATGTCCCTCTATAATTGGACAATCATATAGAAAACAAACATGTTCTTACATTTGTAAAGGGCACTTGAGCTTCCTGTTAGCTGGACTTTGTCCTTGAAACAGAGAGATCCTGTAGGAAAGAGTCCCCAGGCACACTCAGACATAGCTAAAAAGGTTGTAGTTAGGGCTTATTTATTCATCACATATATATAACGCAGTTTTCCAGACACTTGGCCTAATTCAGTGAAGACAACAGATGACAGTTCCTGGGCCACAATTTACTTCAGGGAGTCAGACACTCAGAGTGGACATTATAAGCAGGTCATGATCACAGAATGTGAGAACTGATGTTCTCATGCTCTCCTCTAGGAATGGATGCACCTGTCAGCTTCTGATCAGAACGACAGACCCAGGATCAAGCATAACATTTAAATAGACGAATAAAACTTTTTTCCAAAAAGGAACATCGCTTTATGATAAAAACTCTCAACAAATTAGGTGTAAAGTAAATTCACTTCAAAGCATTAAAGGCCATGTATTACAAATGAATAGCTGGGCGGGCAGATCTGCCATAAGGCAAGGGCATCCGCTTCCCTAGATACATATCCAGGGGCACAGAGAATGAGCAGTTCCAGGGTTGTGTCTCACATGGGGTCCTCTCCAGGTCGGTTTCAAGAGGACAGGACTGGGGTTCTGTATCCACTTCTGTGGAGAGCTGGAAGTAAAATGAGCTATGCTCCACCTCAGCCTAATGTAGACAATGGCTACAGAGAAGACTGTTTTCTTCCTCATAAATAGGGGTGCTCGAAGTGGGTAACCTTGATTGTTTCACATACTCATAAGTGTCTGCCAGCCTTGATTCTTCATTGGTGAACTAAGACTCTTTGCTCTGAAACTCTGCAGAAATGCTTCTACTCCCTGGAGGCCCTTCAAATCAGAGAGAGGCATGGCCACTCCAGAGGCATTTTGGGTAGATAAAGATGGGATAGAGCTAAACGTGTCAGAACACTGGACCCTGAGTCTGAAGTCATGGGAAAATGCCAGTTCCTGTTGGGTTTTTGAGCTCCTCATTTGAAAGTCGTATTAAATAATTTCCCTGGATAAGGGGAGGGTGCCTCATGAGTAAATGGCACACTCCAAATGGTGGAGGCAAAGAGAGGGCAATGGAGGATTCCAAGGTCACTCAGTGTACTTGGAGCCTTCAGATTCTGCTCCTTTGTCCTCTGGAACTCCAAAGAGTCAGTGTCTTGAGGACACAAAACAATGGTACCTGATTTGTTCCATAATGTTCCTGCATGGGGCTGCAGTGTTAGTGATGGCCTGGAGGTGGTTACAGCCTGCTGTGTTTCTGGTGCCTATTGAGCTTTGCTGGAGCAGCTGGAGCAAGTAAGAGTCACACACCTCATGTTATTATCAACAATTTCCACATTGCCCACTTAGCCAATCTTTTTTCCCTTGCACTCACCCTTTGCCAGCTACCCTGGTGGGTCCAACATGTGGCACAGAAAATGATTACATCATGCCTGCATACCCCTCCAAGGACAGAACAGTCTGAAGTCAGCTCGACAAAAGCACTAAAGCAAGTATATATAAAAGAAAAGAGCAAGGACTATTATATAAAGTAGAATGTTGAGAAGAAGAGCTGCAAAGTCATTGAATGGGGGGACCCAAAGTCCTCACTGAGGTGATCTTTAATCCATGATGAGAATGATAACAGGGAGGCATCTCTGCACAAGAATGTGTCAGTGAGAAGCCACCCTTGGTGAAGAGTCTTACAGGTGTGAGTTTGGCAGAGATTAGAAAGGGACCAATTTGGTACAGACAGCCTGAGGAAGAGATAAGCAGAGGCATGGAGAATCCTGGGGCTTGGGAGATGAGGCTAGATATCTGCTCCTTTCTGACAACATTGCCCTAAAACTTAGCACCTTTCAATAGTATATAGTATCTCACAATTTGTGTGGACCAGAATCTGGACACAGTTTAGTTAGCTGCCTCTGCCTTCCGGTCTCTTATGAGATTGGGGCTGTGGTCTCAACTGAATGTGGACCGGAAAAGCATCAACCTTTAAGCTCATGCTTGTGAAAATTGGCAGGGTTCAGAGTAGACTGAGAGCATGACTTTACTTCTGTCTACTGCCTGAGCACTCCCTCCGTTCTTTGTTATGTGCGTCTGTACATAGAGCATCTCATAGCATTGGAGCTTGCTTCCTCTGTTTGAGGAATACAATTGAGAGACAGAATTAGGCAAACAGTTTCACACAAAGAGACATAAAGAAATGGAAAGACTGAGGAAGCAAATAGGAAAAACCCAGTAGGAGGAATAATGACAGCTTTAAAAAAACTTGAGAGTTACAATAATTTGTATTAAAATTGTAACCCCCAGTGTAATGCTATAAGGAGATAGGTTGTAATTAACTCCTGAGGTTGAGGCCATCATGATTGAGATTACTGGCTTTATACAGGAAACCCCAGAGGGATGTCTGTCTCCTTCTACCAAATGAGAATAAAATTTGATGTGTGCAGTCTGAAATTCAGAAGAGTCATCACCAGAGCTCAACCATGCTGATACCCTGATCTCAAATTTCCAACCTCTAGGAGTGTGAGAAATTAAATCCTGTTGTCTATAAGCTGTCTAGTTCATGGTTCTTTGGTATAGCAGCCTGAACTAATACAAAAGTCATACACTATTCTGTATTCCATTTGACAGAAGCTGAATTTGTGCCTTCAAACTGTTAAAAAAAAAAGACTTAAAAATTGGATATTCAGAATGAAAGATAAGAAACAGCTTGTTGAAACACTTAAATCTCCTCTGCTTATAAGATTTTAAAAAATTGGCTGAAATATGTTGGAAGCAATATGGCCAACTGAAGTCCATGGAGAATGAGTTTGCTGATGTTAGAGCCCAAATTTCCGTTGCATGTTTCATATTAACTCTCCCTGAATATTCATGTGACCTGTGAGGAAACAAGAGGAGATGACTGTGCATGTCTCATGACTTTCCATATTACTACTTTCCTTCCAGCAATCCCCTCCTAATCCAGAGCCCACTTCTTAAGCATTTTTTAATCAACACCTTAAAGCCTATATAAGGAAACTGATTTCAGCTGGACTCCTGTCTCCTGTTGGCCAACCTACAACAAGATGCCATTTTTCTCAAAACCCAAGTGCCATACTACTGGCATCGAGCAGTAGGTCATTTTGTTCAATAACAAACTGAGTCACTAACCACCTAGTGCTGGGAGACTTTGTGAAGGCTTTCCCCAACTTAGGTGAGATAAGGCACATGGATATAATTCTATATATAATAAGAAGTCACTAGAAAGTTTAATAGTTGTATTAGTCCATTTTTATACCGCAATGATGGAATACCTGGGACTGGGTAATTTATAAAGAAAAGAGGTTTAATTGACTCACAGTTCCACAAGATTGGGTGGGGGAGGCTCAGAAACCTTCCAATTATGGTGGCCAACAAGTGAAGTGAGTGAGAGCAGGGGATACACCAGAAGCTTATGAAACCATCAGATCTCTTGAGAACTCACTCACTATCACAAGAACAGCATAAGAAAAACCCGTCCCCATAATCCAATCAACTCCCCTCAGGTTTCTCCCTTAACACCTGGAGGTTATAATACAAAATGAGGTTTGGGTGGGGACACACAGCTAAACCACATCAGTGCCAGAGGATGATATCTACATTTAATTTCAACCTCGTACTGCAGCAGAATGAAACTGAAGCCCAGTGGGGAAGTGACTTTCCCAAGATTACACTGCTGGACCCCAGGCCTACCTGAGTTGTGGCCCATGCTACCTCCCACCTATTCTCCTAATGCTTCCATCTCTAAGTGTGTGCATTATTTACATGTGAAACTACACCACGATTTTTACATTTTATCTTATATACATCTGATACATTCCCTAGGAAGTAGATAACATTATCCCCACTGTGCACGCTAGGAGGCTGGGGAAGCCTCAAATACACAGTGACTTTTATTAGGTCCCAGAGATGGTAAGAAAAACAAGGTTATTTTCCAGCTGTCTCTTATATCCTGGAACCCAGGATGCATTTAGGTCTTTCCAGGGAATTAAGGGGAAGTTGTGTTTGCATAATTGTGTACAAATAAAGAGTTGACATGGAAGAGGAGACTGAGCAATCAATAGCATAGTGGGGCCTTTGGGTAGGTCTTATAGAAATAAGGGGCCCAGTAGATGGAACCTTGAAGAGTTTAACACACTTTCCTGGTGACAGAACCCCACAGCAGTTAAGAAACCAGGAACCCACATTCTTGAGACAGCTCTGTATCCACCTCTGTTGGTGACAGATGCTCAAGAGAGTGAGATGTCCTTTCATTGTGCCTTGATATTTCTGAGTTCTAGCCTTACAAAGCCTCAATGTAAAAGCCTTCTCTGATAACACAGATATCAACTCAGCCCTCATTCCTGATACCCCTGGCCATTGGCCAAGTGCACCTACAGATAACACAGAGCAGCCCAGGACATGTCCATCGAGGCCAGGCCTCTCTCATCATCTCATCTGGGCAGCCCCACGCCACTTCTTTGTACCATGAGTTGCAGGATGGACAAAAGAGAGGGCACTCTTCTTGGGCAGAAGCCGATTGTCAGGTGTTGGAACTCTTGTGTGTCTGTTATGTTCATATTCAGGTCAGAGCTGGCAGAATAAAAATAAGAGAGTTGGGGACTGAGTCTGTATACTCAGATGTGAATAGCAAGACTCTAACCTGATCTCTGGTTTCCTTCCTTGCTGGAGATTTATTTATGTATTTATACTTTAAATTCTGGGATACATGTGCAGAATGTGCAGACTTGTTACATAGTTTTATATTTGCCATGGTGGTTTGCTGCATCTATCAAACTGTCAGCTAGGTTTTAAGCCCCACATATATTAGATATTTGTCCTAATGCTCTCCTTCACTTTGCCCCCTGACAAGCCCTGATGTGTGATGTTCCCCTCCCTGTGTCCATGTGTTTTCATTGTTCAAATTTCACTTATGAGTGAGAACATGTGGTGTTTGGTTTTCCGTTCCTGTTAGTTTGCTGAGAATGATGGCTTCCAGCTTCCTCCATATCCCTGCAATCTGAGGTCTCTGTTCTGTTCCATCGGTCTATATATCTGTTTTGGTACCAGTGTGACTTCCTCTCTTCCTATTTGCATACCCTTTATTTCTTTCACTTGCCTGATTACCCTGGCCAGAACTTCCAATACTATCTTGAATAGGAGTGCTGAGGGAGGACATCCTAGTCTTGTGCTGGTTTTCAAAGGGAATGCTTCCGGCACTTGCCTATTAAGTATGATATTGGCTAGGGGTTTGTCATAAACAGCTCTGATTATTTCGAGACTTTTTCCGTCAATACGTAGTTTATTTAGAGGTTTTAACATGAAGCGATATTAAATTTAATCAAAGGCCTTTTGTGCATCTATTGAGAAAATCCTGTGGTTTCTGTCATTGGTTCTGTTTATGTGATGGATTACATTTATTAATTTGCATACGTTGAACCAGCCTTGAATCCCAGGGATGAAGCTGATGTGATCATGGTGGATAACATTTTCGATGTGCTGCTGGTTTCAGTTTGCCAGTATTTTATTGAGGATTTTTACATCGATGTTCATCAGGGATATTGGCCTGAAATTTTTGTTGCGGTTGTGTCTTTGCGAGATTTTGGTATCAGAATGATGCTGACCTCATAAAATGAATTAGGGAGGAGTCCCTCCTTTTCAATTGTTTGGAATAGTTTAAGAAGAAATGTTACCAGCTGCTCTTTACGCTTCTGGTAAAATTCGGCTGTGAATCCATCTGGTTCTGAGCGTTTTTTTATTGGTAGGCTATTAATTACTGCCTCAATTTCAGAACTTGTTATTGGTCTACTCAGGGGTTCAACTTCTTCCTGGCTTAGTCTTGGGAAAGTGTATGTGTCCAGAAATGTATCCATTTCTTCTATATTTTCTAGTTTATTTGTGTGGAGATGTCTATAGTATTCTCTCATGGTAGTTTTTATTTCTGTGGAATCAGTGGTGATATCCTGTTTATCATTTTTTAATGTGTCTATTTGATTCTTCTCTCTTTTCTTCTTTATTAATCTAGCTAGTGGTCCATCTCTTTTGTTAATCTTTTCAAAAAACCAGCTAGTGGAGTCATTGATTTTGAACAGTTTTTCTTGTCTCTATCTCCTTCAGTTCTGCTCTGATCTTAGTTGTTTCTTTCCTTCAGCTAGTTTTTGAATTTGTTTCCTCTTGATTCTCTAGTTGTTTTAATTGTGATGTTAGGGTGTCGATTTCAGATCATTCCAGCTTTCTGTTGTGGGCATTTAGTGCTAGCATATCCCCTCTTAAAACTGCTTTAGCTGTGTCCAAGAGATTCTGGTACATTGTCTCTTTGTTCTCATTTGTTTCAAAAAAACTTAATTTCTCTCTTAATTTTGTCATTTACTCAGTAGTCGTTCAGGAGCAGGTTGCTCAATTTCCATGTATTTATGTGGTTTTTGGTGAGTTTCTTAATCCTGAGTTCTGATTTGGTTGCACTGTGGTCTGAGAGACAGTTTGTTATGGTTGCCATTCTTTTCCATTTGTTGAGGAGTGTTTTGCTTCCAATTATGTGGTCAATTTTAGAATATGTGCTACGTGGCATGGAGAAGAATGTATATTCTGTTCGTCTGGCATGGAGAGTTCTGTAGTTGTCTATTAGGTCCGCTTAGTCCAGAGCTGATTTCAAACCCTGAATATCCTTGTTAATTTTCTGTCTCATTGATCTGTCTAATATTGGCAGTGGGGTGTTAAAACTTCCCAGTGTTATTGTGTGGGAGTCTACGTCTCTTTATAGGTCTCTAAGAACTTGTTTTATGAATCTCAGTGCTCCTCTGTTGGGTAGGTATATATATAGGATAGTTAGCTCTTCTTGTTGCATTGATCCCTTAACCTTTATGTAGTGCCCTTCTTTGTCTTTTTTCATCTTGGTTTAAAGTCTGTTTTACAAGAAACTAGGATTGAAACCTTGCTTTTTTTGTTGTTGTTGTTGCTTTTTTTGCTTTCCATTTGCCATTTCTCCTTCCCTTTATTTTGAGCCTATGTGTGTCTTTGCATGTGAGATGTGTCTCCTGAATACAGCACACCAAAGAGTCTTGACTGTTTAACCAATTTGCCAGGCTCTGTCTCTTAATTGAGGTATTTAGCCCATTTATATTTATGGTTAATATTGTTGTGTGTGAATTTGATCCTGTTATCATGATGCTAGCTGGTTATTTTGCACATTCGTTGATGCAGTTTTTTCATAGTATCGATTGGTCTTTATATTTTGGTGTGGTTTTGCAGTGGTGAACCATATTTTCCTTTCCATATTTAGTGTTTCCTTCAGGAGCTTTTGTAAGGCATGCCTGGTGGTGACATAATCCCTCAGCATTTGCTTGTCTGTGAAGGACTTTATTTCCCCTTTGCTTTTGAAGATTAGTTTGGCTGGATATGAAATTCTGAGTTGAAAATTATTTTATTTAAAAATGTTGAATATTGGCCCCCACTCTCTTCTGGCTTGTAGAGTTTCTGCAAAGAGATCTGCTGTTAGTCTGATGGGCCTCCATTTGTAGGTAACCTGACTTCTCTCTCTGTCTGCCCTTAACATTATTTCCTTCATTTCAACCTTGGAGACTCTGGCGATTATGTGTCTTGGAGTTGCTCTTCTCGAGGAGCATCTTAGTGATGTTCTCTGTATTTTCTGAATTTGAATGTTGGCCTGTCTTGCTAGGTTGAGGAAGTTCTCCTGGATAATATCCTAAAGTTTGTTTTCTAGCTTGGATCCATTCTTCCTGTCACTTTGAGGTGTACCAATCAATCGTAGGTTTGGTCTTTTCAAATAGTCCCATATAACTTAAAGGCATTGTTTAGCTCCATCAGGCCATTTATGTTTCTCTCTAAGCTGGTTATTCTAGTTAGCAGTTCCCATAACCTTTTATCAAGATACTTAGCTTCTTCGCATTGGGTTAGAACATGCTTCTTTAGCTCAGAGGAGTTTATTATTACCCACCTTCTGAAGCCTACTTCTGTCAATTCTTCAATCTCATTCTCCATCCAGTTTTGTGTCATTACTGGAGAGGTGTTGTGATCATTGGAGGAGAAAAGGCATTCTTGTTTCTGGAATTTTTGGCATTTTTGTGCCGGTTTTTCCTCATCTTCATGGATTTATCTACTTTCAATCTTTGGGGCTGATGACATTTGGATGGGGTTTTTTTTGGGGGGGTCCTTTCTGTTGATGTTGATGTTGTTGCTTTCTGCTTGTTAGTTTTTCTTCTAACAGCAAGGTTCTTCTGCAGGTCCAGTGCAGTTTGCTGGAGTTCCAATCCAGACCCTGTTCACCTGGGTGTCACCAGTAAAGGCTGCAGAACAGCAAAGATTGCTGCCTTCTCCTTCTTCTGGAAACTTCATCCCAGGAGGATACCCGCCCAATGCCAAATGGAGCCCTTTTGTATGAGGTGTCTGTCAACCCCTGTTAGGAGGTTTCTCCCAGTCAGGAGTCACGGGGAACCCACTTGAGGAGACAGTCTCTTAGCAGAGCTGGTGCACTATGCTGGCAGAATCCCTCTAGTCAAAATCAGCTGCTCTCTTCAGAGCCGGCAGGTAGGAATGATGAAATCCACTGAAGCTGCACCCACAGCCTCCCCTTCCCCCATGTGCTCTGTCCCAGGGAGATGGAGGTTTTCTGTGTAAGCCTCTGACTAGGGCTGTTACCTTTCCTTCAAATATGCCCTGCCCAATGAGGAGGACTCTAAAGAAGCAGTCTGCCACAGCCACTTTGCTGCACCCAACCCGGACCTTCCAGCCTCCTTGGCACTGTCAGGGGAAAACTGTCTACTAAAGCCTCAGTAATGGTGGACTCCACTCCCCCCAACTGAGCTCAGTTGGCCCAGGTCAACTTCAGACTGCTGTGCTGGCAGCGAGAATTTCAGGATGAGGAACACATTAGCTGTTTGTGATTTTCATGTCTGTTGCAGGGATTTGACCCATTGTTAGTGCTAGATTTGGAGTCTTAAAAAACAGATTTATCTTACTGAACTCAAAGTACAACTTGAAGATGTACTCAGCTGTTTACTTAAATTGCAGCAGGAGAAAATGTATCTTTGCAGATCTATTTTTATGTCATTTGCTTTTAGAGACGAGATTGTCTCTGGCACAGTAATTCAACTTAGTCTATGTCAAAAACATAGCCTGAAAATGCTCAAAAAAAATTATGAATAGCGGATTGTATTCTATGTGTTTTCAAATTTCTTCTATGATGTAAAATATATAACATAATGTTTTACCTTGGATTTCTAACCTCAGCCCTCAGCCATTTTCCCAATTTTTTTTTTTTGTTGTTGTTTTGAGATGGAGTCTTGCTCTGTCTCTCAGGCTGGAGTGCAGTGGAGCTATCTCGGCTCACTGCAAGCTCCACCTCCCGTGTTCATGCCATTCTCTTGCCTCAGCCTCCCAAGTAGCTGGGACTACAGGCACCTGCCACCACGCCCGACTACTTTTTTGTATTTTTAGTAGAGACATGGTTTCACCGTATTATCCAGGATGGTCTGGATCTCCTGACCTCATGATTCACCCATCTCAGCCTCCCAAAGTGCTGGGATTACAGGCATGAGCCACCTTGCCATGCCCCACTTTCCCAAACTATTAAAAGACCTTCCAAGGTGGGTCAAAAGCATTTTTCAGAGGAGATTATTCCTAACAGTAAAGGATAATAACAGATGGATAAAAATCTCAAATAAATTATGCCTCTATTTGCAGAAGTGTCACTCTCCAGAGTCTCCAAGATCCAGAGAATTTCCATGAGGTAGAGTAGTTTGTGGACATTTAGCAAAGTTGGTCCTGACTGCTGTCTCAGCCTCTTAATAGATGTGCAGCTATAGACAATTTACTGGACTTACAACAGTTATATAAACCTGGGCTGCAAGAAAACGCATAACACTGATTGCAAGAATGGCAATCACTTCTCATTCCTCTCTGATCTGGGCCCTCTGCAATGTACACTTGAGGATGCTTCCATGGAGGGAAAGATTTTCTTTTCCCAAATCTTGGATCGGGCTGGCCTTATTTGCTCTGCCTCATTCATACTTTTTGTTCTAATAAAATAATTAAGATGTTTAGTGTCTCATCCCAGCCTTTATCTTGTTAAAACTATATCTTATAATATGTCATCTCTCTTTACTATATTTGGTTATATTCATTCTATTCAATACTCAGGTAATTTTTTATCTCTGTTTAATTTAGTGTTTCACCTATACCTTGTCCTAATTTTTTTATTCTTTACATTCTACCGAGCTGTGATTCAAATATGATATTTGAATATGGAAAATGATGGCCTAGTTTTTCTTCAGAAATTTATTTTTATTTACTTGTGTTCTTTAGTTTTTAACTTGGTTCCAATATTTGGGAAATATCACATTTGAGATGTCTGTAGTCATGTTATTTCTGTGCTTATTCCATTTTCCCTTGGAGGAAGGTGGACAGCATACAGACTTGACATCCTTGTGATCTATCAGTATCTGAAGGGACCACTTTTTTTCAGTTTGATTACTTCTCTGGCTTATTCTCTTGATTTACTTTAGCTTTCATCAAGTGCTTATATATTTTTAAACTGTATTCATTATTTTCATAGTTCTTGTAGCTTCTTGAGAACTTTTACTTGTCTACACTAAAATATTTAAAAATATGTAGCCTTTTCTTCTGAAAGCACAAATATGCAGTGTACACATGAGTAGAATATTTCATAGGCATTGGGCAGCATACAACCACATATTATGAGATATTCCGTTTCTTCATTCAAAACATCTCTCTCAAATATGTAGTAATAGTCACTTGTAAGGGGTAGTTCTTTTGATACTTAAAATTTTCTTTTATGTGCCTTTATGAAAATATATACTTAACTACAGAGAACAGAACTCTGTGCTTCCTTTTAGTATGTCCTTGGCCTCACAAAAATAATTCATGGAATCTTATATTTATTTTATAAATTAATTTAATGAAACAAAATTTGTGCATGGCTAAATATTACTTGTTGAGTACAATTTAGAATTTCTACTGTCATTTTAGTGTCCTAAAAGATATGACCTGTTGAATTTCTGCTCTCATGAAATGAATGATATTGTTAGGCCTAAACTCTTGCCATTTATTTTCCCCCTCTGTCATACAGTGTGTATCTTTGGTTCACTGCTGAAAAATTTTATTAATTTTTCTCTCTTGCTAGTAGTCATACTTTCTAATAAAGTTATTTATCATTACTTGTGTTTATTTAGTTACTGTATGTTAAACATTTGATTTCTGATGGTCTTAATGTCATTTAATATAATTGTAAATATTTCAATTTGTCATTATTAACAAATTTCTGTATTATATATTTTAGAGTCAGCTATTAAGTATATGTGGGTAAATGACTTAGAATAATTTCTAAAACATTGTAGGGGCTACTAAGTACTAATAACCCTGATTCATTAAATTTTTATTCCTTATAATATTCTTTATTTACTAAATTATTTTGTAATCTTATTTAAATTTATTCTTTTCTTTTCTAAATATTTGTGAAAAAGGGGTTAGGCTAATGTGTCATTTTGATAAAACTTCATGTCAAATGATATGTTTCACTGGTTTCTTTTAGATGTAATAGCTTTTTTGACTCAGGCAATACATGCAAGTATGAAGTATAAAAATTATAGTCTCAATCCTTAAGCTGAGGAAAAACTTGGCTATTTATTGATTTTAACAAAGCTACATTATCCCACGTAATACATAAAACTTTCACAAAGCTACATTATCCCACATAACAGGCATACCAGCTGCTTAGATCTGGAAACATGGATTGTTACAAATTAGAAGTAAATAACTTGATAGGCCCAATTTAACAAATGAAGCTCAAGAAGTGGAAGATATGAGACCTATAATGAAAGATTAAATTATTTTAAAAATCTTACCACAAAGAAAAATGAGAGTCAAATACTTTAACTGTTAAATTATACAAAATATTTCATAAAAATACCAATCCTTTACAAATACACACCATACATAGATAAGAGATAAACAACCCCTAACTACTTTATGAGGCCAATATTACTATACCAAAGCCAGACAAACCCATCATGTGTTAGGATTAATATGGGTACATACGGCTGATAAATAAAGACACATAATTCTCAAAAAGTACTAATAAGTTAAATACAGAAACACGTAAAAGTAATTATACACCATGGCCAAGTACAATCTTTTTACAAATGAAGTGGCTTAATATCTAAAAACCAATAATTTAATACACAACATTGATAAAGTGAAGAACATAAAATGATCCTTTTAATAGACACAGAAAAGCTTGTGATACAAACAACACTGATTCATTATAAAATCCTTAACATACTAGGAAGGAAAAACTTACTGGAACTACTAAAAAAGATTCATGAAAATTTCCCACTAATATTACACTTGCTGATGAAAGACTAGGCTCTTTGCCTCACAGTTGTGGGAAACAGATAAGCATGGCTACTTTCGCTACTCTACTAAATTGAACTAAAGGTGTTAGGCAGAGAAATTATATAATAAAAACAAATAAAACTTCTAAATTTATAAAATAAACTTTTATTGTAAATGGCATCAACTTATATTCAAGAATTTTTAAAGAGTTTACAAAAATCAACTGGAACTAATAAATGAGTTCAGCAGGTCACAAGATACAAGATAAATGCACAATATTAAATTGCACTTTTATACAGTAACTGGGGGCAATCAGTAAATAAAATTAGAAAAAATAATTCTACTCATTAGCTCAATGTGTAGTGGCTTAAAATTCCAAATATGCATTATGTCTTATTTTCTGTTGGCTACAAATACTGACACAGCTTAGTTGAATGGGTCTACCACAATGTCCTCATGTGTCCGGAATTGGTGGGTTCTTGGTCTCACTGACTTCAAGAATGAAGCCGCGGACCCTCACGGTGAGTGTTACAGTTCTTAAAGGCAGCGTGCCTGGAGTTTTTCCCTTCTAATGTCAGCATGTGTTTGGAGTTTCTTTCTTCTGGTGGGTTCGTGGTCTTTCTGGCTCAGGAGTGAAGCTGCAGACCTTTGTGGTGAGTGTTACAGCTCATAAAGGCAGTGTGGACCCAAAGAGTGAGCAGCAGCAGGATTTATTGCAAAGAGCAAAAGAACAAAGCTTCCACAGTGTGGATGGGGACCCGAGAGGGTTGCCACTGCTGGATCAGGCAGCTGCTTTTATTCTCTTATCTGGCCCCACCCACATCCTGCTGATTGGTCCATTTTACAGAGAGCCAATTGGTCTGTTTTACAGAGAGCTGATTGGTCCCTTTTCACAGGGTGCTGATTGATGCATTTACAATCCTTGAGCTAGACACAAAAGTTCACCACGTCTCTACTAGATTAGCTAGATACAGAGTGTTGATTGGTGTATGTACAAACCCTGAGCTAGACACAGGGTGCTGATTTGTGTGTTTATAAACCTTGAGCTAGATACAAAGTGTCGATTGGTGTATTTACAATCCCTTATCTAGACATAAATTTTCTCCAAGTCCCCACCAGACTCAGGAGCCCAGCTGGCTTCACCCAGTGGATCCCACACCAGGGCCGCAGGTGGAGCTGCCTGCCTGCCAGTCACACGCTGTGCTCCCGAACTCCTCAGCCCTTGGGTTGTTGATGGGACTGGGTGCCATGGAACAGGGGGTGGAGCTCGTTGGGGAGGCTCGGGCCGCACAGGAGCCCTTGGCCGGAGTGGGGGAGAGGCTCAGGCAAGGCGGGCTGCAGTTCCCGAGCCCTGCCCCGTGGGGAGGCAGCTAAGGCCTGGCGAGAAGTCGAGCACAGCAGCTGCTGGCCCAGGTGCTAAGCCCCTCACTGCCTGGGGCTGGCAGGGCCAGCTGGCCGCTCCAAGTGCGGGGCCACCAAGCCCACGCCCACCCGGAACTCGCGTTGGCCCGGAAGCACCGCGGGCAGCCTCGGTTCCTGCCCACTCCCCGCAAGATAAGGGAGCCGGCTCCGGCATTGGCCTGCTGAGAAAGGGGCTCCCACAGTGCAGCGGTGAGCTGAAGGGCTCCTCAAGCGCGGCCAGAGTGGGCCCCAAGGCTGAGGAGGCACCAAGAGTGAGCGAGGGCTGTGAGGGCTGCCAGCATGCTGTCACCTCTCACTCATGAGACTGAAGCTGTGTCTCAACTGAAGCTTGACTGGGAAGGATGCACTTCTGAGCTCAATCTGGTTAGTTGTGCATTATTGTTTTGACTCAGTTCTTAGTTTCTTTCTGTCTTTGGTCAGGGCACTCTCTCCATTCTCTGTCACACAAGCCTGTAAAAATGAAAGCTTAAAACACTGAAGCTCGCTTCTCCAGAGCAAAGTATGCGACAGACAGAGAGAAAGACAGGAAAAAAGGAAGTAAACAATATCACAAGAGAGAGAAAGTAAGAAGCAAGTGACAATCTTTTCATAATCAAATATTGGAAGTGACATTCCCTATTTTCCAATGTATTCTACTGCCATGAAGTGAGTCACTAACCACTTACTGTTTACATTTGGGTGTGTATAGTTGGAAATAAAAATTATTATGAGCCATCATGAAGGCTGTGCACTATGTATGCCAAGGTGAGACAAATGGGCCTGATTCTAAATATAACGAGAAGGTACTACAATGTGTGTTGTTGTTATTGTTGTTGTTCTGGCCAAAGAATAACAACATCTAAATTTTATTCAATTTCAATGTTTTCATGGTGGAGTTTGAAAAATAAATTCAAGAGGGGACATGACTTTCTCAAGATTCAAGTTATAAAACCCAGGCATGTTTGAGAGATATTCAAGCAATGTCCCATCCCTTGTAGTTTCTTTCTCTAAGTTTATGCAGTAGCTGTGTTTAATATCAAACCCAACAGTCATGCGTATCATTTTATACATATCTCATGAGATCCCTTGCAGCTGGATGCCACCATAATCCCCACTGTGCAGGCTGTGAGACTATGGAGCCCCTGAGAGGCACAATGACATACTTGGCATCACAGAATTAATACATTAAACATAAAGACTTTAACTCAGCTTGTATCCTCAAACTTGCGGCTCTGGCTGCATTCCATTTCCTCCGGGACTGGTGCAGGAGGTGCTGTATTTGCATAATTGTGCACAAGTAATCAGATGACTTGGGAGAGAATGGTGAGCAGTCAGCAGTGCAGAAAAGCCTTTGAGTAGGTCTTATTGAAGGAAGATAGGTCTTATTGAAAGAAGAATAATACCTTCAAGAAGTGACCTCATTTCTTTGGTGAAAGGCCCTAACAGTACTAAGTATTCTGGTAACCAAAAACTCACATTCTAAAGACAGTCGACCATACAGCACTGTTGGCCAGAATCTCTCAAGAGAGAAAGATGTTCTGCTGTATAACAACTTTCTGAGGCTCTTTCTTTGAGGTTCTGTTCCTCACAAGTAGCACCTTCTAGCTATGTCTTCACACGACAGAAGGGGCATGAATATTCCTTTCAACCTCCGTCACACGGGCACTATTATTTTCTCGTTAACATGCAGCCCTCCTGACTTAATAACTTTCTCAAAGTTCCAATAACTAATAGTATCACACTGAATCCACGTGTGGATTAAGTTTTTAAATATGAATGTGGAGAGTGAGGAACACAAATATCCAGACCATAGCAAAAAGTTAATAAGCAATAACAATTGCAGTGGACAGTATTATTAATGCTTGGGATATGGGAATTTGATGTTTCTATCACAAAGGTTAAACAATGGTTTATCCTTGGCCGGGCATGATGGCTCAAGCCTGTAATCCAAGCACTTTGGGATGTCAAGGCAGGCGGATCACAAGGTCAGGAGATCGAGACCATCCTGGCTAATACGGTGAAACCCCGTCTCTAGTAAAAGTCCAAAAACATTGCTGGGTGTGGTGGCGGGCGCCTGTAGTCCCCGCTACTAGGGAAGCTGAGGCAGGAAAAAGGTGTGAACCCAGGAGGTGGAGCTTTCAGTGAGCTGAGATCACACCAGTGCACTACAGCCTCGGAGACACAGCAAGACTCCATCAAAAAAATAAAATTAAATTAAAACATATAACAAAATTAAGGTCCAATTAAAGGTAAATATATATAGCAAAAAAAAAATTCAAGCTCTGATAAGGTTAATTGTAACAGATTGTGCCAGAATTTTGAGATTTCTGGGGATGGACAGAGCCCAAGAGTTTCCTTCTATAACAATTTCTGTGAAGTTTCTTACACTCTTATTCAATTTGAACGTGGATAAATGGGTTTTCTCTGTTTTGTTATTTAAGAGATTCATGATAAGGAAGGCCTATTTATGCATGATTCTTAAACAATTATTGAGTCAGTGGTGTCTGCTGAGGAAGGGCACAGAATCTCATGCCCACAGAAGCATGATGTTCTGTCAGATAGGAGACTTCTCCCAGAGCCAGAACTTCATCTTTCAAATGGAATTAGAGATTTTCACAGGCATACATTGCTCTGAAGCCCTATCAGAGGCTTAGCACTGAGAATATGACCAAAGAAGGTGACTAATAAACATATGACCTAGTACTCTGATCTACAGTGATTCTACCCTCTCAAATAGCTCTTCCCTGGCTCTGGAATCTTTTCTGGATTCATCTACCAGAAACAGATACACTGAAAGATTGAGAAGAAGCTTTTATTCTCACTGTGAGTCTTGCCCTGTCTCACCATCTTCTCTAGAAGTGCAATGTTCTAACTATTCCTGAGAGACTTCATCTCAGGTAGCTCTCTCTGACAACATAATTGAGAAGAGAAACGAGCAAGACTCAGATTATTTTGAAGGCTTGTCTAGGGTTCTTACATGATTTATGTCTCCAATTTATGTCAATATTGACAAATATAGATTCATCTCTAGATGGTAGAAAAACAGAAGGAGGAGCCTCTGCTCACAGAGAAAATAAAAGATGAATTCAATGTTTTGTAGAGCCAGCTTATTTTAAACCATGGGGCATTTAATCTTTTTAGAAAAAAACAAAAGCAATAGGGTTTTTTGTTTTTGTTTTTGCTTTTGCTTTTGTGTTTTCGTTTTGGTTTTTTTTTTTTGTTTGTTTTTTCCCTGAAGCAACTCAACTGTGGCCTCAGACAACTGGGCACTGAGAACGCATGCTCCTCACTAGAATTTCATTACTACATTGCAGAGAAATGGGATAATTACAAAGGATTTTTTTTTTTTTGAGATGGAGTCTTCCTCTGTCATCCAAGATGGAGTGCAGTGGCATCATCTCAGCTCACAGCAACCTTGGTCTCTCAGGTTGAAGCAATTCTCCTGCCTCAGCCTCCCAAATAGCTGGGACTACAGGCATGTGCCACCTTGCCTGGGTAATTTTTATATTTTTAGTACAGACTGGGTTCCACCATGTTGGCCAGATGGTCTCGATTTCCTGACCTCGTTATCCACCCTCCTTGGTCACCTAAAGTGCTGGGTGTGAGCTGCTGTGCCCAGCCCAAAGGATTCTTAAGGGTGATATGGGGGATGGAATGGAAAAAATAAACTTAGTCTTTGCACTTCCACCTGGTCTAACTAACCCTACTCTCATCCTATCCCAAAATTATTGCCAGACTTTTCTGGAGTGTGCCAGGGGCAATTCAGAAGGAAAAGAGGTTATTCATGCCTATCCATTTCCCATAGCTCCTGAGATCTAAGTCGTTCACTCCCCTGGTTTCAGGTTGTTGCTCCCCTTCTATATCCTCAGAATTAATGTGATCCATTCCAATACTTATAATTGTACCTTTATCTGATCCCCTCCTATTTTGCTGTAGACATTTTATGTAGTAGATCCAGTTGTAATAGAGACAAGAATGTTTATATACACCATAATCAGAACTAAATTGGAGTTCCATAACCCCTTTTTTGACTGGGCTGCTACTCAGAAATCATACAAACCAGGCTGCCTGGAGGTTGCAGTTAGGAGAAATCACATCTTGCCCAGGAATGTCAGTGTGGAAACTCAGATTTGGAAAATAGATTCCTATAGCCCCAATCATTTTGCAACACTTCTGCAGAGTTAAAAGAAAGCCAGTATCTAACAGAAAATCTTGAGCTTGCAGAATAACAGAAAAGAAAAAAAAAACAAAAACACAACTTGCCAAAACACTGAAACTCCCTCTACTTATGAAATAAACAAACTGGCTTAAATTGGTGGAATCATTATGGCCAAATGGTGTTTTGGCAGAATCACCTTGCTGAGGTCACCGTCTGAATTTTCACTGCCTGTTTCATCACAACTCCCCTTCAGTTTGCCTATGACATCCATGAGGAGGCAATGAGCTTGAGAGTAACGTTTCAGTATAAAATTGCTTTCTCTTAAAAACCTGATGTCATAGTATTGGCTTCTAGCACTTCAAGAAGTGAGCTCCTTTTACTCAATAACAATGTTATCTATATCTTAGAGACAGTCAACAGGAGATAATCTCTTCTGGGACCAAAGAAGGTGACTAATAAACCATTTAATCAACACATTACCTAACCAAAAGCTGTGGACCCTGATGAGGAAAATAAGTTAAAATGAGACTATTGGCTCATTTTAATAGATATGGTGATAAAAGCAAAAAAAAAAAAAAAGAGAGAGAATTTAAGCGGTCTCAAATACCTAAAAGATGACATGGATTAGCTTCAAGTAACACATAATGTGGCTGGAGTCAGCTGATCTTTATGCTGAAAGTGTCAACAGTAGTGACAAATACTTCAAGTAACGGGTCAAAAGTCTAAGACAGTCATTCTGCCAGAAATGGTCTGGGACTTCCCCATACATGGGACACGTAGATCAACTTTCTCCAAGAACCACCAACCTGGCATGCAGTGATGACCTCTGCAGTAGACAGGGATTTAGGCTTGATTGTTGTTCATCTCTTTGGAGACATAACCCTAATTGTGAACTTCTAAATTAATGGCCTGACAATTAGATCAGCAGCTAAGATAAATTTCAGTTTGCAGCCCCAAAGAAGATGTTCTTAATTAGACAGTTAATCATTTTCAATATGGAAGCCTAAACACGTAGAATGTGGCAATAACCCGGAACTCTCAGTTCTGACAATTGAGTGAAGTAATCACCCCAGATTCAGGTTCTTCATTGGCTGACAATGAGATCAAACACCCACACCAGCCCAGTGAACACCATGAGGTGTCATCTTCCCTGGCCCATTAGTGAACCAGGAACAGATATTTAGAAAATATTCAGTAAATTGGGGAGTCCCACAGAGTCAGAAAGTTTGCTTGAGATAGTGGAGGGTGGCATAAAATTTCTACCGAATATGAATTTTAATTTTTACTTTAGTGCCGTTTCTATTTTAGTCTAATTTCCTTCTAGAATATGTTATTTCTATTTACCAAGTGGCCTCCTGTGGTCTTTTTCATAGAGTTCAAATCGACCCATCTAAAAACAGAAAGATCAAGCTAACGACCTCCCTCAGGGGTCAGAATTCAGTTTCACAGCTCTGTAGCAAGCTCATTGTTGACTTACAAATTAGTGTAACCAATAGTAACGTCATGGTGACCATAACTCCAACATCCCAAAAAGTACCTCAAGTTAGAGGCTGACTTCATTTATCAGAGGATTCAAATGGCAAAATCAAGCTTTACTAGATCACTGGATTACTGGAAGAAGTGAGCAATGCGAATCTGCAATATAGTTTCACTAAACTTTAATAGGACAGCAAGACTGTAGATATTTTAGCCCTCTCAAAATATGAATCTTCTGATCCTTTCATCTAGAATCTCTATGTGTGCCATAAAGTCCTAACTCTGCTTGTGCCTATACTTTCTGTTCATGCAGAGATTAAAAGACAAACAGGTGGGAGCTTAGTGTTTTAGCGTTTTTCCTGAGAATCTGTCTAGCCTAGAGCATCCCCATTTTTTTCTAGATTCCAAGGAGTACTATCACTATCCTAATTCTCAGTGTCTTGTTTCCAAGTATTTCCTCCTACGATTGTCAGCGTGACTACCTTTTTACCCCACTGATAGTGTTTGCTCCAGGTGAACTGGGTAGTTCATTTTTATTTAAATGCTTCCATAAGCGTTAAGCTATTAATTTAAGATTTCTTTGTTTTTTATAAAGTAATTCTGCTGTTTCCCTCAGAGCTCAACTTTCACTAAGTCTCATAAATTTTATTATGTTTTGTCTAAATGTCTATTTATGTTAAAATATTCTCTGACACTATTTGTACATTTTTTATTCATTAATTATTTAAGATTGTGTCATTTAATGCACACATGTTTGCATTTCCCAAATTTCTTGCTTTTTTGGTCTCTAATTTTCTCTTTTGTGATTAGAAAACATTCATTTTATTATTTCAATCTTTCAATTTTATTGATTTTTTTTATGATGCAGCATATTCTCCATTCTAGAGAATGTTCTATGTGCATTTGGGAAGAATATATATTCTGATTTGGGGTGAAGAGTTCTCCATATATCTCTAGTTTTATTTGGTTTATGTTATTCATGTCTTCTATTTCCTTGTTTCTCTTATGTCTAGTTCTTCTACCCAATAGTGTAAGTGGGGAAGTGAAGCTTGCAATTTTTATTGTTGAAACTATCGTTGCAACTATTTCTGCCTTTATTTCTATCAGTTTTGCTTTATGTACTTCTGTGAACTTTTGTCACATTCATATATGTTAATTTATTTTCCTCATGAATTTATCCTTCTAATTATAATCTATCTTCATCTCTAGTAATAGTATTTGTTGTCTTAAAGTATATCCTAATTTTTTGATTTTTGGTTTTTCTGGGTGCATAGTAGGTGTATACCTTTATGAAGTATATAGAATATTTTGATACCGTCATACAATGTGTAATAATTACATCAGAGTCAATGGGGTATTCATCACATGCAGTATTACTATTGGATTTCAAATAACCAAATTATACAATTTCTGTTATTTTAAAATGTACACTTAAATTATTCTTAACTAGAGTCACCTTGTGCTGTCAAATGCTAGAACTGATTCATTCTTTCTAACTATATTTTTATACCCATTAACCATTCCCACCTCCCCGCCCTCAACCTTCTACTACTTCTCTCAGCCTCTGGAGACCATCATTCTACTCTTTATCTCCATTAATTCTTTGGTTTTAATTTTTAGCTTTAACAAATAAGTGAGAACGTGTGAAGTTTGTCTTTCTATACCTGGCTTATTTCACTTAATAAAATGACCTTCAGTTTAACCCATGTTTTTACAAATGACTGAATCTCATTCATTTTTATGTCTGAATAGTACTACATTGTGTATATGTACCACTTTTTTGTTTATTCATCTGTCGATAAACACCAATGTTACTTCCAAATCTTGGCTATTGTGAATAGTGTTGCAGTAAACACAGGAGTACAGCTATCACTTCAATACACAGATTTTTCTCTCTTTTGGATATATACCTAACAGTGAAATTGCTGGATTGTACAGAAGCTCTATTTTTAGTTTTCTGATGAATCTTCAAGCTGTTCTCCATAGTGGTTCCACCAACTTACATTCCCACCAACAGCATATGAGGGTTCCCTTTTCTCCGCATGCTTGTCAGCATTTGTTATTGCCTTTTAGCTAAAACCCACTTTAACTGGGGTGAGGTAATAGCTCATTGTAATTTTGATTTGCATTTCTCTGATGATTCATGATGTTGATCATCTTTTCATATACCTATTTGCCATTTGCGTGTCTTTATTGGAGTAATGTCTGTTTACATATTTTGCCTATTTTTTAAAATAGGATTATTAGATTTTATTTTCTATAGAGTTATTTGAGCGCCTTCTATGTTTTGGTTACAAATCCATTTTCAGATAGGTAGTTTGAAAATATTTTCTTTCATTCTGTGGGTTGTTTTCTCACTTTGTTGATTCTTTTCTGTGCCATGCAAAATTTTATAACTTGGTGTGATACCAATTTTCCATTTTGCTTTGGTTGCCTGTGCTTGTGAGGTGTTACTCAAGAAATCTTTGCTTAATCCAAGGTTTTTTAGAATTTCCCCAATGTTTTCTTTCAGAAGTTTCATAGTTTGCAGTTTTACATTTAAATATTTAATCCATTTTGATTTAGTTTTTGCACATGGCAAAAGATAGAGGTCTAGTTTTATTCCTCTGCATATGGATATCCAGATTTACCATCACTGTTTATTGAAGAGACTGAGTTTTTATTCTTAATATATTTTCTTGGTGCCTATGTAAAAAATGAGTTCACTGTAGATGGATGGTTTGGTTCTGGGTTCTCTATTCTGCTCCATTTTCCTGTGTGTCTGTTTTTATGCCAGTACTATGCTGTTTTGGTTACTACACATCGGTAGTATAATTTTGTGTAATGTAATAATGTATGCTATGTAATGGGATTCCTCCAGTTTTATTCTTTTTGCTCAGGATAGCTTTAGCTATTCTAGGTCTTTTGTGATTATATATAAATTTAAGATTTTTTAGAGCTGTTGTATTTATTTGTGTGAGGAATGTCAATGGTATTTTTACAGAAATTGCGTTGAATCTGTAGCTTGCTTTGTGTAGCATGGACATTTTAATATTGATTCTTCCAATCCATAAACACAGAACACTGACTAATACAATCTGCAAATGGGTAGTTTGACTTCCTCTCCTCTTATTTGAATGCCTTTATTTTTTTCTCTTGTCTGATTGCTCTGGCCAGGATTTTCAATACTATGTTGAACAGGGCTGGTAAGAGAGGGCATCTTTGTCTTGTGCCAGTTTCCAAGAAAAATGCTTCCAGTTTCACCCATTCAGTATAAAGTTGGCTGTGGGTTTGTCATAGATGACTTTTATTATTTCAAAGCATGTTTCCTCAATACCTAGTATATGGAGAGTTTTAACATAAAGTGGTTTTGAATTTTAATGAAAGCTCTTTCTGCATCTATTACAATAATCATGAGGTTTTTGTCTTTCGTTCTGTTTGTATTATGAATCACATTTATTGATTTGCATATGTTGAACCAACCTTGCATCCCAGGGAAAAAGCCTACTTGATTGTGGTGGATAGGCTTTTTGGTGTGCTGCTGGATTTGGTTTGCCAGTATTTTATGGAGAATTTTTGCATCAATATTCATCAAAGATATGAAATTTTTCTTTCTTTTGCTTTTCTTCCAGGTTTTGATATCAGAAGGGTGCTGGCCTCATAGGATGAGTGAGGAAGATGATCCTCCTCAAATTTTTGGGAGTTTCAGTAGGAATGATACCAAATTCTTCTTTGCATATCCAGTAGAATTTGGCTGGGAATTCGTCTTTTCCTGGGCTTTTTAAAATTGATAGTCTATTTATTACAGATTCAATTTTGGAGCATGTTATTGGTCTGTTCAGGGATTCAATTTCTTCCTGGTTCAGTCTTGGAAAGGTGTACATGTCCAGGAATTTATCTATTTGTTCTAGGTGTTGTAGTTTTTTTGCATAAAGGTGTTCATCATATTCTCCGATGTTTATTTCTATTTCTGAGGAGCCAGTGGTAATATCCCGTTTGTTGTTTCTGATTGTCTTTGTTTGGATCTTCTCTCTTTTCCTCTATATTAGTCTAGCTAGTAGTCCACATTTAAAACAAAACCTACTCCTGGATTCATTAATCTTTTAGTTTTTTTGTGTGTGTCCTAATCTCAGTTTATCTCTGATTTTGGTTATTTCTGTCTTCTTCCAGCTTTGGGGTTGGATAGCTCTTCATTCTCTAGATGTTTTAGTTGTGATATTGAGTGGTTAAATTGAGATCTTTGTTACTTTTTGTGGTGGGTGTTCAGCAACATCAGTTTTTTTCTCAACACTGATTTAGTTGCATCTCAGGGATTCTGGTAGGTTGTGTCTTTGTTCTCATTACTTTCAAATAACTTTTTGATTGATGCCTTAATTTCATTATTCACACAAAAGTCATTCAGGAGTGAGTTATTTAATTTTTATGTAATCATATGGTATTGAGTATTGGTTTTCTCAACTTTTACCTCCAATTTTACTGTACTCTGGTCTCGGAGAGTGGTTGTCATAATTTGAATTCTTTTATAATTTCTGAGAACAGTTTTATGTCGATTAAGTGGTTGATTTTAGAGTATGTGCCATGTGGCAATGAGAACGTATATGTTGTTGTTTTTGGTGGAGAGTTCTGAAAGTGTCTGTTACATCCATTTGATCCAGTGCTGCATTCAGATCTTGAATATCTTGTTAATTTTCTGCCTTAATAATCTAATATTGTCAATGGGTTGTTGAAGTTTTTCACTATAATTGTGTAGGAATCTAAGTCTTTTTAAAGACCTCTAAGAACTTGCTTTATGAATTTGGGTGTTCCTGTGTTGGGTGTGTATATATTTAAAATGTATATATTTAAATATGAATACATATATTCTTGTTGAATTTAACCCTTTAGCATTTTGTAATGCCTTTTTGCCTTTTTAAATCTTTGTTGTTTTAAAGTCTGTTTGTCTAAACTTAGGGTTGCAACCCATTCTTTCTGCTGTTTTCCATTTGCTTGGTAGATTTTTATCCCGTCATTTTCAGCCTATGAAACTGATTGCATGTGAAATGAGTCTTGATGACAGCATATCATTGGTTCTTTGTTCTTTATCCAGTTTCCCACTGTTTGCCTTTTAATTGGAACATTCAGCCCATTTACATTCATAGTTAGTGTTGATATGTGTGCATTTGATGCTGCCATTATAATGGTAGCTGCTTATTATGCAGACTTGTTTGTGCGCAACTGGTCTGTATACCTCAGTGTGTTTTTTTAGTGGCTAATAAAGGTTTTTTTCACCTATATTTAGTTCTTCCTTCAGGAGCTCTTGTAAGGCATGTCTTGTAGTAATGAATTTCCTCAGCATTTGCCTGTTTAAAAAGAACTTTATTTCTCCTTTACTTATGAAGCTTAGTTTGGCCAAATACGAGATTGTTGATTGGAATTTATTTTCTTCAAGGAGGTTAAATATTGGTATTGGTCTCTTCTGGCTTGTAGGATTTCTGCTAAAAGGTGTACTTTTACACTGATAATCTTTCCTTTGTGGTTGACCTCCCTTTCCTCTCTAGCTGCATTTGTCATTTTTTCTTTTATTTCATGCTTGAACAATCTGATAACTATGTGTTTTGGTGATTATTATATTGTGAAGTATCTTACTGGAGTTTTCTGCATTTCCTAAATTTGAATGCTGGCCTCTCTAGCCAGCATTCCCCAGGTTGGGGAAGTTCTCATGAATGATATCCTAAAATATGTTTTTCAAATGGCTTCCATTCTCCCCACCTGTTTCATGAACACCAGTGGGTCATACCTTTGGTCTCTTTACATAATCTTATATTTTTCAGAGGCTTGGGGGTTTTTATTACTCTTTTTTATTTCTGTCTGTATGTCTGACTTCACATAAACAGTCTTCAAACTTTGAGATTCTTTCTTAGCTTTGTCTATTCTACTATTAATAGTTGTGAATTTCTTATAAAAAAATTTAGTGTGATATTTTTAGCTCTCTCAGGTTAGTTATGCTCTTAATACTGGCTCTTTTGTCTCTCAGCTCCTGTATCATTTCATTATGATTCTTAACGTTTTTGAATTGAGTTTCAAGTTACTTCTGCATTTTAATGATCTTTATTTCTATTCATATTCTGAATTTGATTTCTGTAATTTTAGCTATCTTGGACTGATTTATAAACTTACTGGAGAGGTAGTGTGGCCATTTGAAGGAAAAGAGGAACTCAGGTTTTTTGAGTTGTCAGAGGTTTTGTGCTTGTTCTTTCTTATCTTTCTGGGGTGATATTTCTTTAATATTTGAAGTTGTCAACTTTTGGATTTTTCCTTTTATTCTGCTTGATGACCTTAAGGGTTTAATTGTGTTATAAGGTTGTCTCAGTCGAGTGGTTTTGTGTGTATTCATGTAGGCGAAGGTGGCTGCTCAGGGCTGAGGAGAGTATGCTGTTTTTTGTGCTTAGTTGTACTCAAATGACAGTGTTGACAAAGGAGGACGGTGCTGGTGTTGTGGGGCTGATGGTCTCTGTTTCCCCCAAGATTCTGTCTGCAGTGGTGGTATAGCAGGAGAGGGGGCCTGGAGTACACTCCTACCAACAGCAGTGCCAGGGCAGAATGCATATGCACATGTGCACTGACAGGGCAGGGAAAGCAAGATCCTTCCATGCACACACACACACACACACACACACCAGCATAGTGATGTGTGGGGTGGCAATGGGCCTTGGGGGGAAGCTGCAGTGAGGAGAGAGAGCAGGCAGGCTGATGCCTGGATGGGGTCACCCCACTGGAGCTGTCTACTAGTCAGACATGATCTGCCAGTTCAGGATCTATGATGCAGGCCCCCAGGGTACTCAAGGCTGCACTGCAAGCATGCAGGGCCGAATTGGGGTCGCAGGAGAGGCCAGCACACCAACGCAAGCTCAGGTCAAAACAGCCCCATCTGATGGGCCACCACCCTGCAGACTTTTTCTCCAAAATTTCCCCTAGGGCTAACGTCTCTTATGGGAGCAAGTTAAGCTTATTGGTGTGGGCATCCCTGGACATGCTTCACTACACATGTTCCCACAATAAACCCTCTTGGCTGTGCACTGGCTGGTGCGCTGCCCCTGTCACTTCTCTAAGCAGCTCTTCCTTTCAACTCATTTTCCATGATGGTCAGAGGGTCTCTGCCAGTGGGATTCCAGAGGCCAGTCAGGAAAGCAGGTAGCTCCTTGCCACTTAAACTCACCTGTTTTTCTCAGAGTCACTGGGGGCCAGAAATCAGTTCCACTGTGCTTTAGCCCTGTGCAGGGTTCCCAGCTTCTGAATCTTAAGTTCAGATGTTGTGTCTTTCCTCCTTCCACTATCAGTACCTGCCCTCGGTTAAGAGTGTGCCAGTCATCCTGGTCCCTTGGTGTCAGCTGTTCCACCTTGGCTTGTCTATTCAGCCATCTTGCTCAAATACACAAAGTCTTATAAATCAATAATAAATAGACAATTGACTACTTGAAAAATGTGCAAGGAATTTGAATTAAAAATTTCTACAGATAAGAAGCAAAATTTGTCATTAAATTTAAAATATGTGACATTATTAGTTTAGAGAAATGCAAATCAAAAGCTCAATGACATACTTAGTAGAAGACCTGTAAAAGGCAATAAAAAAGGTTGCCAAAGATATCAAAAATATGAAAGCCTCACACATTGTATGTGGGAGTGTAAAAAACAACCGATTTAAAGAACAATTTGGCAATTATTCAAAATGCTATAAATAGTATCACCATATGACTGAGACATTTTACTCTGTTACGTACTCAAAAGAAATGAAAACCTATGACTACACAAAGAATCAGATGTAAATGATCAAAGCAGCAGTATTTGTAATAGCCCAAAGGGGATAAAACCAAAATATCCATCAAATAATAACAGAAAAAATAACGTGTGGTGTGTCCATACAATAAAATACTATGTGCCAAACAAAGAAAATGAAGTAATAATACCTGCTATGTCAGGAAAAAACCTCAAAATCACTAAAGTAAGTAAAATAAACCAAATGCAAAAGGGCAGATAATTTATGATTTCACTTAAAATAACTTTTAATAAAAGGCTTATATATAAAAACAGGCTAATGATTGCCTATGACCAGGGTAATGAAATCAGTAAGTACAAAAGAGATTAATTTCTTTTTCCATAGTGATAAGGTTATTTCAAAATTAGATTGCGGTTATGGGTGTCTGTAAATACACTTTAAAAACTTGGAATTGTACACTTAAAACATGTGATGGTTTTGTTATAAAATTATATCCCTCTAAAATGTTTCCAAATGAAACTGTTGACTTTTGGAGAACTAAGTCACAGACTGTAAAACCAAACCCATTTATTGTTCATCTCAAGGCATGTTAAATAAAGAGGAAAAGACAAAGATATAGTTATAACATTAAAATCTTCATGGCAAATAGTTATAAGAAAAAAATTACAATTGTAAAATGTATTAATAGACATAAATTACCTGCTTAGATTTAGCAGGCCAGAAATGTAAATTAAATAATAGTACACTATTGAAGACCACTCTGAGTCACTGATTATTAGAAACTTGTTATGATGTCATCATAGGGTTAAAATATTCCTTATCAAAAATGACTCACAGCAAAAATGTTAAATAAAGTGTGTTAGTGGCACCCCTGTCCACAGTTGCTGGTACTTTTAGTGTATGGCCAATTAGAAAGCTGCTCTTTTGTCCCTCATTTGTAACCAATTTCAACACTCAAATTCAATATTGAACTCCTAAATATATTGATAAAACATGTGAGAAGATGTTTGACTTGTTTTATTGTAAAACAAGGCTAATATACAGTATGTGAAAGTTTCCATAAAATTCTTAAATTATATATTTAAAAGATATTATGAAAATAAAAAATCTTAGCAAACATAGGGAGAATTATAAACTAACATTTATCATACATACCCACCACAAGACTTCAGCAATTCTCACATTTTTTATCTTTCATTTTTAATTATCAACTTCAATTATTCTGGTAATATTTTCAAGTAAGCATATTATGTTGTCAGTTTGTAGAAATTTGAGTACCTATATCTAAGAAATAAAGAGAAAAATAAAAATAGTACTATAAAATCTAAGTAAATACAAGTATTTTCTAATATTGTACTAAAGAGTTTCTTGATTCTTTACGTGCAAAACAGTAGAACTTAGCAACCTCCAAGACTTTATGAGAAATAACAATTTAAGACTAATATTTATCCTGGAGACTCAAAGTGACTATAAATAAATATATCTTTAGTTAATAAAGCTTAAAAATAAAGTATTAGTAAAAACACATTTTGAAGATGGCTGACACCTTTGTTACTAGACATGGGGCTTGTGCTGTAAATAACTACTTTAAAAGTCCATGGAAAAGGGATTTTCAACCAAAAAGTCTATAGAAAACAAAAAATTTTGGTTTTTCTGAACTCAGGATGTGAGGCCAGCTTTTAAAGCACGGAATTTAAAAAACCCTCAAGACCCTAAGCTTGATAAGCACGTCACCAGCAGGTCTCATTTTTCAGCTCTGTGCACCAGGTGGCATGTCTAGCAAAATGTCCCCTCTCATGTCAGGTTTTTTCTATGAACTCAGAATGACCACTGTCCCTTAGTATGCAGCCCTGCAGTGGACCCAAAAATGACAATCAATCAGGTCCAGAGTTGCTCATTATGGCCTTTCCAGAATGTAATTATCTAAGGACAATTCTCCCCTTGTAAAATTAAGAAAGTATCAGAATATTTGCCTAATTTTTGATAACATCATACTGTGAGCCACAAAAAAAGCAAGAATTTAAAATGTAAGGGATTACCTGGATCCTAGGGCACAGAAATACACCTCAAATAGAATAGTTTCACACACGATTTTATATGTGGACTTCCTGTGTGGAAGAAAAGAATGTGGGGGTCAATAGTAGAGAAGTCTGTATGTAGTGGAATTTTAAGAAATCAGAGAGGCCGATGGGGTTCAGGAGGGTATTTATTAATTATTTAGGTGCACTGGTCCAGTCGGATTAACATCCAAAGAATGAGTCCTGAACAAAGAGTTAAGTTACCTTTTAAGCATTTCATGGGTGGGGAGAGATTTGTGCAGGGAGAATCATACTACAGAAGCAAGAAACAAAGACAGTTATTCAATTGAGACATGCATTACATTATTTCTTACTTTTCAAGGAAAAACCTGTTTTGTGACTTGAATTTATCTGTCTAGTGACCTTGCAGCTTCACAGCTTGGGAAACAGGGTCTTCACAATCCCTGGGAAAGGAGGAGAGATAAGGATCACTAGCCACAGAAAAACAGGCAGTTAGTTTTTAAAGGACTGCAGCTCTTACTCTTTCTCAACAGAAGTTGGGTTTTCTTACACACAAGTGAGTTTCTGCTTACACACTCTTTAATCTCTTATAATTCCTGTTCCATTCTCCCCATTGGTGCTTTTTATAACAGAGGTGTTAATAGAAAGCACCATTATTTGCCAAGTCTTCATGGAGCTGAGCTTTTTCTTCTTCTGGCGGTGGCTGATATCTGGTTAATGCATCAACTGTACAGTAGTGTTTTGGGCTACCATTGCCTCCATAGTTGACTGAATACTCCTAATAAACAGAGACAAAAGGCAAGGGAGGATAAGGCAGATGCAAAGAATAAGCAAGAACCTACTAATGAGGGTTTAGAATTTTTCAAATGCTGAGAACCATCCTCCAAACAAGGAATCCGGGGACTACCTGGATCAAGTCTGAAGTGGAACCTGGGCCAACTTGTGCATTCTAGCTGTAATTTTTATGACCACTAATATTGATTTCTTGGCTATTGATTTCTAGGCAACAGTTGGTTAAATTAAATTTTCTACATATTCCTCCTTCGGAGGATAAGAGATAATTTAAAGCCAGCCTATTTTGATATATAGCATTTCCTTTTTGTGTTGCTTGTATTGCCAATAAATCTAGTGCCCTCGATATTTCATTGGTTATGATTTGAAGGACTGCCTGCAACTTCATGATGCGGCTGAGGATACAGATTATGGTGCAGTACCCTCATGACCTGTCTTGCACCTAGGTAGCTGGCCCATAGCATGTCATGATTCTTTCAGGAGGTCATTTATTACCTTTTTAGTCTCCTGTGTCCACATCTTTTTTGATATTTTTGTTACTTTTGTGATTATGCTTTTTCTAGTTCTTCTTTTATTTTTATTATAAACTGGATATTCTAAGAATTTCCCTTGCTTTAGAGGAATTAGAAAGAAGGATGGCTTGATTGCTTTTAACAGACACGCCCCTGCCCATTTTGCTGGCAGTTGCCAATATGCCCATGCTCCACAGATCCAATATAGGCCAGAGGGTGCCTTTCAAGCATTTGAATCATCTACCTGATGCCAAGTGCAGCTTAGAGTAAGGAATCCAGAGAAAGTGTTTGGATCTGGTAAGTAGGAGTCATTCTGGGCATTTCTTCATAGAGTTTTGTTTTTAGTCTCGTAATAATACTGTTGCCCTAGGCAGGTTGTTTTTCCTACTGCCTCTGTGAAAGCCTTTCCCCATCGAGTGATACAGTACTTTCCAGTTATGGAGATTTCTAACAATCAAACACTGGCTGAGGCTGTTGGTTCACTGGCAGGGTTAAGCAGAGTGAAGTTATCTTGTGGCATTAATTCCTTTGCCTCCCATTGCCACTCATTCTCCATATTAGTTTCTCTACATACATAGCATGAAGAAATTTTTAAGCTGTCATCTGTGTCTTCAGCTAGTTGAGCAAATAAGTTTTTGGTTGATGGGGGAACCTCGGTCACTGGCTGATCAAAATGTTTACAGAATGACTTGGTATTGAGGGGTTGGATGCATTTGAGTCCTTATAGTATTTTTGACAATTAGTAGTGGAACTCCAAGACCTGCTCCTTGTCTATCAACTCGTAATAGTGCTGTCTGTCCTGTAGACCAAAAAGGTAGCTCTGGCTTTAAGATAGTAAAATTTAAAGGATCGCATGTCCTTGTCTTACAATCTGGTTTTTAGGATTATGAACATACGTGGCATGGCAGTCATCAAAGAAGAAATAGGCCCTTTTTAGAAGGGTGGGATTTCTTTGGTTTGAGCTATAAGCTTTCCTTCTGTTTCTCCCTCTGATTTAATATGTACCTCAAAATAGAATTAATAGGGTAAGAGCCCAGGCTCATAACATACATATAGCTGATTATTTCCTCAGTCACAGACTGAATAGGTGGTCTGGTTGTATGTGCATATTCCTAATTTGCTTCCTGTACATTCATAGTAGGTATGGTACAGTAGAGTTTTAACTGTGGTATTTTTTATCCAGGTAATGTGTACACAGCGTGGACATCCTTCAAGAGATTTGTCCCCTTTCAGTATAAGCATAAATGGTAACAACATTGTTGTATGTAATAGAAACATGCTTACACTACACATGGGCACAAAAACTTTCCTCTGGGCATAGACATTTGCAGCATTTGCAGTAATAACATAACAACGGAACAATCAGTATTGACAGAATTGTAACTATGGTTATAAATTGTATTCACATTTACTTATCTGGACATGGTCCTCTTAGCTTCGGCTGTGTGTACACTAGTCAGCTTCCGGGATGTGACTAGAGCAGAGTTTGAAGAATCCTTAAGCTTCAGCCATGCTTAGACTGACCAGCCTCCAGTGTGGTCAGAGCAGGGCGGTTGTCCTTTTTACCGGTGGCTGAGATTTGCCATAGGGCTATTCGAGTGGGGCAATCTGGGTCTTGTTGGCTAATCCACAGGTTGTCATCAGGACTCGCTACTGTCACTGGTTTTAGATGGCTATGGTGAATCCAAGGTGTGGCACCTGCAACTTTAACAGCAGTGGGAGTAGACATGATTACAATATGGCGCCTATCGTATACGGGTCCTAGAGTGGTTGAATTCCATTTTTTACCTAAACGAAGTCCCTAGGTTTGAAAGGGTGTACTGGGTCTGTTAGACTTATAGGCATTTTTTTACATACTTAACCATGCATTTTAGTATAGCCATACTTAAAGCCTGCATTTGCCTTCTTAAAGTTAGTTTTCCCAATTTACAGAGATTACCCTGAATCTGATTTTTCTGGGGGGTGGGCAGCTGAACAAAATCTCAGAGGGCGAATACTCAGTTTTTTGGTGGGGGTGCACCTGACTCATAAGAGGACCATGGGCAAGACCTGATATTACTTCAGATGAGTTTTTCGACAAAATTTCTTCAACAGCTGCTTGAGTGTCCAGTTTATGCTCTCCACTTTACCTGAGATCTGCTACCTGTAGGCTGTATGTTATTTCCATTTTATTTTTAATAGTCGAGTTAAGTCCTGAACTATTTTAGCCACAAATGTTGGTCCATTCTCTGATCTTAGAGTTAGAGGCAGCCGAAATCTGGAAACAATGTCTCTTAACGCCTTGGTCACGTCTAGTGCCCTCTCTGTCCTGGTGGTAAAGGCCTTGAGCTATCCTGAAAAGGTGCAAATGAACACCAATATGTACTGATAGCCCCCGTCTCAGGGTCATTCAGTGAAGTCCATAAGCAGATTTTCACAGGGCATGGCTCCTTTTTCCTGAACTCCCATGGGCCGAGTAGGATCTTGTCGTGGATTGTTCCGAGTGTAAGTTAAACACAGTTTACAAATGGCCCGAGTAATAGCAATGAGCCATGGCAGATAAAAATGATGCCTTAATAGTGTCTTTATTTTTTTTTTTAATCTGAGTTCGGTGGTGGAATTGTTTTACAAATCTGGGGGTCACCATTTCAGGTATGGCTAGCCTCCCATTGAAGAATTTGTATTATCCTCTTTCAATGTAGTTCTTATTTTCCTGGGGAAGCCAAGCTCTGTTATTTGGAGTGAAGATTGGGATCTCCAGGAGGGGAATCTCCGGGAGGAGAGGCATAGCTAAGGCGTCTTCTTTAGGTGGAGTTGTCATTGCAGCCTTCTTTGCCTCTTTGCCTTCGTATCTTTTTTAGCCCTTAGTGTTCTTGCTTTTTGCTGCCTCTTGCAGGACTTCACTACCGTCACTTTTGGGGCCCATACAGCGTTTAAGAGCTGTAGGATGTCTTCCTTGTACTTTATTTCTTTGTTTCCAGCAGTTAAAAGTCTTCTTTTTTTCTTTGTAAATAACCTTATGAACATGCAAAGTGGCAGAAGCATATTTGGAACCTGTATAAATATTGGTCTTTTGGTCTTTTGCTAGCCAGAGAACTCTTGTCAGAGCTCTTAGTTCTGCTTTCTAATCATGTTTCTGTAGATGAAGACTGCACCTCTACTGTTGAGTCTAAAGTCACCACTGCATACACAGCTTGGCGGGCTCCTTTTAGTATGAAACTGCTTCCATCAGTAGAATATTCAATGTTTGGGTCCCTGAGGGACTGATCTGTCAAATCTCTCTGGCTTGAGAACACTTCATCTACCACGTCCACACCACAATGAAACGGTCCTCCTGGCACTGACTCGATGAGAGTAAGGTAGCCGGATTTAGGGTATTCACAGTCTCTAAAGTTAGTTTACTAGCTTCCTGCACCAGTACGGCAGTGGCTGCTAGTGCTTTAAGACAAGGAGGCCATCCAAGTGCAAAAGAATCTAATTGCCTGGATAAATATGCCACCAGGCGATGCCATGACCTTATGGCTTGAGTCAGAACCCCTATGGCCTCCCTTTCACTTGTGCACATACAAGAAGAAAAGCTTGATTAGTTAGATCTGGCAGTCCTAAAGCTGGGGCCTGAGTCAAGGCTTCTTTGATTTCTTTAAAATCCTTCTCCTCTTTGGCCTCCTAGAGGAGGGGCTCCTTTTTTCCTCCTCTTAGTGGCTTGGTATGATGGCTTGACCATGAGCAAGAAATTTGGGTTGTAAACGCGGCAGAACCTTGCTGCTCTTAGAAACTCTCTTACTTGACACCGGGTGGTTGGAGTAGAAAGTGCACAAACAGCCTGCTTTTTTTCAGGACTAAGCCATCTTTCCTCTTGGCTTATATAAAAGCTTAAATATTAGACACTTTTAGAGGAGATTTGAGCTTTTTTCTGACACTTTTTATTCTGCCTTCTACAGCAGGTGCAGTGGTTCTTGCGTTTCTTCTGCGTGTAGTAGCCCTTGGCTGGTGTGTGTGTGTGATTTTTTGGTTCTGTTTTTTTGGGTTTTTTTGGTTTGTTTTTTGTTTCTTTTACTATTGCCCTGATCATTTTCATTATTTCTTTGACATTTATGCTTCCAGTGTCTTTCCTTTTGCACCATGCACATTAATCTCTCTCTAGCCTCGGCTGGCCTTCACACTCCTGTCCAGACTAGCCTTTTTCATGACTACGTTCACGCCCGCGTCCATGCCTCCTTGTAAAGCCAGCTCCTCTTCCCGGAAGGGCTGCTGCTAGTAAGTTAGCCTTTCTTAAGCCTGTGATCAGCCTTTTCCTTTGCCTCCTCATCTCGGTTAATTAACACCTTGGTTGTCACTTTAATAAGCTGAGTAGCATTCACGCCTACGGAGCTTGTAACTTCTGCAATTTATGCCTGATATCTCCTTGGGTCTGCCTTACAAGTGCTGGATTCACCCTGCACTTATTTTTGAGTAGCCTCAGGGTTAAACGGAGTGTACAATAAAAATGCCTCACAAAGTCTTTCATAGAACTTGCTGTGCTTTTATCTGCACCCTGAAGCATGTCTGAGATTTTTTAAAATATTGATTGCCTTTTTCTTTTACCATCCTTTAGCCTTTGCAGATGGGCTTCTCGGCACCTTTGCAGGTGCTGAATCTGGACTGCATCATCTGGGTCTTAGTGGGGGTCCTCCTGTCCTCTTAAGAGGCATGAGCATATCTTATGCACGACCAGACCTGAGACGGCCTGCCTGATTTTCGCTCTCATTTCACCTTCTCGGGTGAGACTGGCAGCATGTATCCATTTGAACTTAACTCCTTAGGGACAGTTACCTTGGTAAAGGGGGTAGATTGGAATGTAAGGAGGAGCGGTCTCTATTCTTTTCTGTGGTTGTGACAAAACCGGTTTTTCTGCCTTTTCTGAGATTTTTTCATTTGTCTTCAGCTGCTGGGGCAGCTGATTTTACTTTCACTTTTGGCTGGGAGGTGCTACAAGCCTCTGTGTCTCCTTTTAACTCTGTAGCTGCCAGAGCAGCTGATTTTCTCTTGCCGTGAGCTGCGAGCATTCTACAGTAAACTGCTAGGCAGGGCTGCATTCATTTAGCCATGAGTCAATATAAAGACTAGGTCTGAATGTCCTGGCTGTTCTCTGACCCTAGTCACCACCTTAAAACACACGGCCAATTTTTCTATAGTGCCTTTGGCAAGCCATCTGACACTAAAACAGGGCTATTCTAATTCACAGTATGTCCTTAACTTTTGAACACTCAGTTTCATCCTATAATCACCTCTAACTCTTTTTTTAAAATTCTTTATTATGCTTTTCAAAGGAGCCACTTTTGATGTTTTCACTCTCATTTCCTCTCTTGCAGTTCACTTTCACTCTGACTTTCACTCTTGAGTCCACCAGACCTGGTCCTATTGCGGGAGTTTCAGATGCTGCTTAGCCAGGACCATGCCTTCCCCTGTCGCAGACTGCTGCAGCTGTAAAGCTGGTACTATCAGCCATATGAAGCATCTTAGGTCTGATTTTCCCCACATTCGCCTCAGAGCACACAGCCACCACTAAGGGATCTGTGCCTCCCCATGTCGCTGCCCACATTGGCCTCTCCCAATGTAACAGGAAGAGCGGCAGACAAAACCCCTTGGACACTGAGTTAAAGAAAGAAGGTGTTTATTCACCTGGGAGCTTCAGCAAGACTTCTTTCCCAAGAGCTGAACCCTCCGAGTGAGCAATTCCTGTCCCTTTTAAGGGCTCACAACTCTAAGGGGGTCCGCATGAGAGGGTCACGATCTATTGAGCAAGCAGTGGGTATGTGACTGGGGGCTGCATACACTGGTAATTAGAAAGGTACTGAACAGGACAGGGATCTTCACAGTGCATTTTTTATACAAATAACCGATTAGGTCAGGGGTTGACCTTTAACTACCAGGCCCAGGGTGTGGCGCTGGGCTGTCTGCTTGTGGATTTCATTTCTGCCTTCTAGTTTTTACTTCTTCTTTCTTTGGAGGCAGAAATTGGGTATAAGACAATATGAGGGTTGGTCTCCTCCCTTATTTTCCCCCTTTGAGACTCTCACTCATTTTATTAGTGGGAGTTCTCACCTTCTTCCTCACTACCTATGTCTTCCTCTATCACAGATTGATAGTGATTCATGTAGTACACTCGTGCTGAAGCGTTCTGGTGAACTAGAGTTGCCATGAAAACTTTTACCACTTGAATGAGTACAGCTAGTAAGCAAGAGATCAGTAAGCAGGTTCCTATTACTACTATAGTTTCCATTATAAGAGTTTTAAATCCTTCTAGTGCCGGGAACCATTTTCAAACATGGCCTCAGTGTCAAATCGGTGCCACACCTGTACTGGCACATGTGCCAGTTTCATCATGTCTTTAACTATATCTTCGACTACTTGCCCCTGATCATCTATGTGCAGACAGCAAGTGGGCCTAATTACAGTCACTAAATTGGGCCTAATTACAGTCATAATCAATTTACTAAAATAACCAGACAGCAAGACAGGTTTCCAAACATTGGCAAATGTTTCAGGGAGAAAAAAATGCCCCACTAGAGAAGCATGGTTGTATCTCTGTGTGTACATACACACGGGGCCAGGCAGTTCTATGCATGATAGTCTGGGACTGTAAAAGTGACTATGCAAACCTTTACATTCTGTCACAGAACTTACAATTTAAAGTGAGCATCTTTTTCTGTGACTTAGAAATTGACTTTTTTTTTTTAGTTGGGAGCCACTTTTAGCAATTTTCCCTTTGTTGATACATAATAATAGTATATATTTGTGGTGCATGAGTGATATTTTGATACATGCATGCAATGTACAGTGATCAAATCAGGGTAATTAGAATATCCATCACCTCAAACATGGATATTATTTTCTTTGTGTTTGAAAAATTTCCTTTGTGTTGGGAGAATTTAAAGCCATCTCTTCTATCTATTTTAAAATATATTAAAAATTAGTGCTAACTGTAGTTATCCTACTGTGCTGTCAGACACTAGAAATTATTCCTCCTATGATAAAAAGTTTAGGCTGTATCCCATGGGTAGTAGGACACCACATGACTGAGTGGTCATCTGGGAAATTATCTGGATGACTTTGGAACATTCCTGGTTGAGCCAGGTGGCTGTTGCAACAAACTGTGGGGAAGCCCCTCCCCTAATGCCCCCTAAGCCAGCTGTCACTACATGACAGGAAACCTCTAAACCTGAGGGCCCCAGGAAACAATGACAGTCCCCACTCACATGCAACTTGTGCTGTGCTCAGTGCCCTCCACATTGAGCCTGATCTAGCTTTACCCGAGGGCTGTGAGGTGGGACAATCAGTATCCCTTTATTTTAAAAGGCTCAGTGAAGTTTTGGGCTTAATATGAGTGAAGTGATCCTAAAAGCTGACTCTGGGATCCCGGCTCCACCACTGACCAGTCCTGCAGGTGGCGAGAGTTGCCTCTCCTCCCCTCGATTTCATTTTGTCCTCTGTGAAGTGCAGCCGTGCTGATGACTCACATATCAGGGATACATGGGAACTGTCAATGAACGGAGTGCTCTACACAGTGCCTGGAGCTCAGAATGCAGATGAGGGAGGAGGGTGAGCCATAATTCTGAGGGAAGTCCCAACATAATTTAGCCCTTCCATCTAGTAGCCGGGCCCCAGTACAGAGTCCTATGTCAGTGACAGGGCAAACTGAGACCAGCTCAAACACAGCCTCTTCCTCAGCAGCAGGGCCCAACTAAGGCACTTGGTGTTTTGGTTCATTTCCTGCAGCTTCAATGTAAAGAATATTGTGAGACATTTGCTGGAACAACTGAAAATCAGAAGAAGAAGAGACAGCTCTTCTCCATCTCCCTGAGAGCTCTTCCCCAGAATGTGTTTATCCAGAGAGGAGGGGAAATATTTATTTTTCGTAAATAGTAAATGCTAGAGTCGAATATTATATGAAAATCTCATTCTACTACAAAATCGGAGTTGTGGTTGTGGTTCTTTTTATTTCACTTGTGTAAGCTTAAATGAGATACAGACTCTAACATTTCTCCTTGAATTATGAAATCCTAAAGAGTCGGCAGCATAATGTATGAGGAAGAAGAGAAAAGCAGTCATAGTTTCTGGCTGCCGGATAAGACACCCAGGTCCATTTTTCTCAGAGCATATGTTCATTTTAATATTAACCCAAGGAAAGAGTGAAGATAGATCATTCGAACTTGCAGAATTAATAATTTGAAGGTATTTTCACAAAGCATAGCGACAGTCTTGGAAATATAGATTTCTTTAAAAAGCAGTTGCAGAGATCAGGAGGATGAATACCTTTCTATGATTTTACAAAAAATAAATCAACTTCTGCTTCACTTGCTGAGGTTTCCTCTAAGCAACTATTAGAACATTGTTGTTTTTTCTTCCAACTCTGGAGTTGCATCAGGTCTATGTGGAAAAAAACATTATAAAATAAAATGACCAAAGTCAAAAGGAGAAGGCCAGGGAAAGTCTATTGACAATGGATGCAGGGCAGAAAGGAAGCTGCATTCTCAATCTTCTTCTGGTGTCCTGTGATTGAGCCTTTACCTTAGATGTAAATCCTCCCAGAGTTTTGTCTCTTACCTTAGAATTTCTATTCTTTTTTTAAGTTAGTTTCTTATCTAGAATGAAAGAATTGTAATGCCACTTTATGGCTACACCTGGGCCTTATTCTGTAAATATTTTTACTACCTATGAGGTAAAATTCCCAGCATTAGGGCAATTCTTTATCCAATTTTTTCTTTCTGAGACAGAGTCTTGCTGTGTCACCCAGGCTGGAGTACATTGGTACAATCTTGGCTCACTGCGATCTCCACCTCCTGGGTTCAAGAGATTCTGCTGCCTCAGGCTTCTGTGTAGCTGAGATTACAGGCACCCAGCTTCATGTCCAGCTAATTTTTGTACGTTTAGTATGTTTAGTAAATTTTGTATTTTTAGTTTCACTATGTTTGTCAGGCTGGTCTTGAACTCCTGACCTCCAATAATCTGCCCGCCTTGGCCTTCCAAAGTGCTGGAATTACAGGTGTGAACCAATTCTTTTTGAGGAATAAATTACCTAAAGGTCCTCAAGCCTTTCTGTCAGGCATATCTTGGCCTTTTCTCTCTGACTGGGGTCCGATGAATCACAGGTGGGCACTATTTTTCTATATTCCCAACCAGTGATAATCCTTGCTCTCTTTATTTCTAATTAAAAGAAATCCAAAATGGAGATAGTTATTTGAGAGGTCTCTAAAGACAACTAGGAGGACATGAGGAGTTGAATTAATACTCATACACACCCAGGTGGAATTTTACCTGTTCGAACTGGGAAAATTACAGATGTCCTAAAAAGGCAACTGCATTTGACTTGGATTGTTTATACCGAGCCTGATCACAAACCTCCTGAAGAGAAAGCTGTGCTGAATTAAGCTGATGATTGCCTAGATACAGTCTAAGCTGGCAATCAAACATTGTCCATCATAGACTGTGCTAAAATCTTTCACTTGTGTAAACTTGCAGTAAAACTTTATAAGTCCCTCCCTAACCTCATCTGAATGGAACATGATATAGCTTCTTGCTAAATTTGTGTCTCCCAAATAGCAATTTATAAAAAATCATGATTAAAATGCCTTTTATTTTATTTTCCACAGGGTCTGTTTTACTCCCATGTTATAAAATGCTTTTCTCAAGAAAGCATAGAGCCCATTCTCTTCTCTAGAGAGAATCGCAGCCTTGCAAAAGAGACAACTAAAAATACATACATATAAGTAGCAAGAATTTAAAACTCAAAATATTAAATATGTTACAAAAGTATACAAGCAATAGAATAAATAGGATGAATAGCAAAATGGATAAAATCAACTGTGAGTTGAAAGCCTGAAAGTTCAGGTGAAGGTGTTGAAAATGCTTCAGAAAAAACTAAGGAGATAAATATTTATAAAAATAAAGAGCTGGGCTCAGTGGCTCACACTTGAAATTTCAGCTGCTAGGGATGCTGAGGCCAGAGGATCAATTAAGGCCAGAAGTTTGAGACAAGCCTAAGCAAGACCTTGTCACTGAAAATGTTTTAAAAATTATTTTGACATTATAGCATGTAACTGTGGTCTCAACTACTTAGAAGGCTGAGGCAGGAGGATTACTTGAACTCAGGAAGTTGAGGTTACAGTGAACTATAATCATGCTACCGTACTCCAGCCTGGAGTGAGGCAAAATCTAGTCACATTAAAATAAAATAAAACAAAATAAAATAAAATAAAATAAAATAAAATATAATCTAGTCACGTTAAAATAAAGTACAATTATCAAGGACAAAAATAAAATTGTACAACTTGGCAATAGAAAAAAAATAGAGCATAGAGCAACTGGGGGAAAGGGGGTTGAAAGTATAATTTCCTTTTTATTTCCTTAGTTGGTCATTACTTAGACTTTTTCACTTAATTAAAATTTTCTTATACTTTGGTGCCCAGTTAACCCCAGAGCATTTTTAATTAATTGGTTTAGAGTTAGATACTCATATAAGCTTTCCACTGCAAATTACAAGAGCCAAATTTTAAATAAATGTTGGACCTCTAAATTTTCTATTTGCAATATTTAAGGAAATAAAAATTATAAAAAACACTTTGTAAAACATTTAGTATGTAACTGCTGTTTCTAACGTATAATAAATCCAATTATGGCAGAGACTCACTCTGTTGTTGAGAATCTCTCCATTATATGACTGCTGCTTGTGGTGCTTAAACCTCAGGAAGAAAGAATATATGAATGTCTGAACATTGCTTTAAAAAGACAATGTACATTTAATGTAGAGATATGTGACCAGCTTAGAAAGCTGCACTTTTTCCACAGCAGGCAAACCAGAGCCTGGATACCCCAGGGTCACAGCTCATGAGAACATAGGGCTGGACTGTGAGAAAACAAGAAGCAATTCGTGCAGAGGAGTTGACAAGACACCAACTGGGCTGAGAAAAAAGAGCTGATAGATTAATTTCCAAATTATACTACAAAACATACAATAAGCAGACCCCATAGCTTTATACATTAAAACCAAATGATGACAAAGAGTGAGGATTGCATTAAATTAAATTAGGAGCAACTAAAGACTGGTTTATGATCTTGAAACTTTAGTCACTCTCCATAGTTCCATCCCATGACCCGGTAATTATTTCCTGCTTTCTGCATGCCTTGGACACTGGTCCATTTCTGGCCCCAAAGTGTTCCTTTTTCTAATAAGAGTACTTACTTCATCTCTTAATACAATTCCTTTCCTTGCATACTGTGCCCCAAAGAAGAAATATTAAAAACTTTCCTGATGTTTTTCTGCTGCGGGGTTAATGGGCTCAGAGTGATGATAAGAACGGCCAATGAGTGTGTGGAGCCAGATAGTGCTTAAAATATGGACTTCAGTCCAGTGAAGTCTAACAAGATTGGCACCTGAGCACTCTTCTCTGAGACCTGAGGATGGACTCACTGAACCTGGAGCTACTAACGCAGCTGATACCCACATATATACACCACCTGTGTTCCTAGAAACTGGCCTTCCCAGCCCATCACAGCAAACACCAACACCAGCATGGAACGCTTGGGAGTCAGAGGTTTTTCTTGTCGTTGCTACTGCCATCATCCATGCCATAACCACTGTCCAGGGGCTCAAGAAGCTGCCCACCCACCTTGCTCACTGCTGACACCTGAGCAAATCACATGAAGGCCAAATAATTAGTCTTCCTGGACCTGTTAACACTGCTGCCAGCATAACTGCCTTGAGGCCCAAAAGCAGGCATGGTAAGCTCACCACTGCCATCACTGGGATCCAATGACTAAACCTCTGGTGCCCCTATTCCCAGCAAAACTTTACCACAGCCTCTGCTAAAAACGATACCCTAAGCCGCTGAGAAAGGTACAGACACCACTGATACTCTTTACAGCCAAAGAAATCATATAAAGACAGGCCGGGTATTGTGGCTCATGCCTGTAATTCCAGCACTTTGGGAGGCCAAGGCCAGTGGCTCGCTTGAGGCTAAGAGTATGATACCAACCTGGGGAACATGGCAAAACCCTGACTCTACTAAAAACACACAAATTTGCTGGGCATAGTGGTAGGCACCTGTAATCCCAGCTACTTGGGAGACTGAGGCACGAGAATCGCCTGAACTCAGAGGTGGAGCCTACAGTGAGCCGAGATAGTGCCACTACACTCCATCCTGGGCAACAGAGCAAGGTTCTATCTTAAAATATATACACATACAGAGTTTAAAGTCTGTGCTCTCCTCTCCTCAGCTGCCTTGTGACTGTGTAAGTGTATGTTTGGGAAGGGAGGGATAGGATGAGGACAGGCCAGCAGAGAGTCACCAGCACTGGCTAAAGGTCTCAGACCAAATTTTATACTCTTGACCAGGAGAAACTTCTCTGTTATTCTAATCACATTAAACTCAAGCATTTTCTTTTTTTCTTTCTTTTTTTTGAGAAATCACATCGAACTTCCAAAATTATAAAGTTGAAAATATGTAATAATTGACAATTGGAAACAAGAAAGAGGATTAGCTATAAAAATAACTCAGGACAATGTATTTATCATGAAAAGATGGTCTTGGTGGAAGAAAGTTTCATGCCCAGCCAGCCCATTCTTCAATATCTGCTAAAAAAAAAAAGAGCAAAGGGAACTTAAAGACATCATAGACTTGGAAATTTCGTCTCACAGTGCATTAATTTCCCAAATCACATGTGGAAGAGAAGAAGCTGCTGCATATTAGACTAACTAGTTTTACTGAATGTTGTCTGTTGATTTAAAAATTAATACTCTTATCAAGAGCAAATTGAAATACTGAAAGTTATTTACTAAACAGCAAAGAATATTTTCAGTATATAAAAAGATTTAAAAAAACGTTGACACCTTAACTAAATCTGACACAAATTTAAAAGGAAAAGTAACTAGAAAATGAAAGAAGCGTCGTACAAGTATGCGATGCACCCTCTGTTGCACCAACTGCTCCTGTTTGTTGAGTCCCCTCTTCTATTCTGCCTCCTCCATCTCCTTGCTGATTCCCCTTTTTGTCTATTTTAATTTCTCTCTCTATTCCTTTCTCAGGTCACCATGTCACATTCCTTTTGTGTCTTTTGATGTCCAATCTCACCGACACCACCTTCATTCTCTATTTTATCTTTACAAATGGTTAATTAGGCATAAAGAGGGAAAACACTCCTGGGAAGATACCTGAATCCTGGTGCACACTATCATTATCACTGTTTTTCATGTTGATGCTCATGTGTCTCTGCTTTCTCGACAGACTATTTAATCAGCAGACAGATCAACAGGCCAAAATTTCCACCATAGTTGCAAATTTGAATGCGGATGAATGGATTAAAACACATTCAAGTCTTGCAATGAACGGCATAATGTATGGTGGTATAATTCAGAGTGGTTACAGGGGAGAGTTAAAGATCATTTTATACAATATCACTCGAGAATCTTTTGCTGTAAAACTGCAGATGTGGGTTCCTCAATTTTTAGTGGTACCTTGTCAACAATTAACCCCTGAGGATGTCTCTGCCCCAACAGAGGCTACATACAGAACTGGGAGATTCAGACGCACTGGTACACGTAGCTTAAATCCTGGAGCCAAAATATGAGTACAGCGTCCATCACATCCTACTCCTATGGCTGGTGAACTTGTAGCTATGGGAGAAGAAACTGAAGGCATAGTACAGTTTCCTAAAGATGAAAAACAATATTATGTTCCCCTCTGTTTTGGTTATTACAGAGAATAACCTGTTTACTAATGGTCAGTACCTGTGTCTCTGTGTCTGATGCCAAGAATAAATTCATCATCTGCATAGCCACCACTGCAACAGAAGCCAACTGCAGTCAATGTTGGCTATGCGTGGAATTGCCAGAGGCCACCAAAAATGGACTACGTTGGAGAATCGTCCCTGTACCTTACTGCATACCGAATGTTGTGTGTATATCCCTGACAATTCTCACACTACGACTCTCCTTGCACAGCCATGGTGGGTGTGGTTTTCATTAACTGTGCTTTTAATTCTCCTGTGCTTACCCTGAGTCTGTAATCTGTATCAACTATGCTTTCCCCAAGTATCTGTAAGGGTATTTTCCTACAATTGAGTATCAAATTGAAGCCAAATTTGGAAGAAAAGTTAAATATTCAATTTTATCTCAATTGAACATGGACACAAACAATGGTCACCAAGTCCCGGAACAGGTTCTGTGAGTTTCTTCAGGCGTTCATCCACCAGTGTCTCAGAGAAATTTCTATTTTAATCTGTTCCTGTATGTTAGTTATTGAAAAACAACAGTCAATCGCCAAAAATTTGACATTTTTGTGGTTTTTGAGCCCAGTAGTGAAGAGTCCTCGTTACCCGGCCTTATGCCAAAGAACTCCTTACAAAAAGAGCTAGGGTCCCAGATGGCACTAGAGCTTCCTGAGACCTCTCCCCATCTCTGCAGGGATGAGGGGCCAACTCTGTAGCCCAGGCTGTTGCTTCCCGGTCTGTTGATGAATCCTCCATAGTCTGGTGAGTGTAGTGTCTGACTCTGGAGCCCAGGCTATTGCTTCTCTGTCTGGTGATGCTTCCTCCATACTCTGTAGTCTGCTGTGTGTAAACATATGTGTATATATATATATACATATATATGTATATAATTTATACATATAACTGTAAATAAAAATAATTATATAATTATGTACATAATTATTTAAATAAATAAATGTAAATAAATACATATATAATTTTATATATATAATATATATATTTATATATATAAAAATATATATATTTTTTCCCTTCTCATATCAATTTGCTTATCATATCATTTACTTATTATATCTGTATTGCCATATAATTGAGACAAAAGATGTTTACCCTTAAAAGTATTGTGTGTGCCTTTTCTTCTTCCTCATGCATCTCCCATGCAGAACACATGCCTGACAAATTTTTATATTTTTAGTGGAGACTGGGTTTAGCCATGTTGGCCAGGCTGATCTCAAACTCCTGACCTCAGGTGATCCTTCCATCTCGGCATCCCAAAGTGCTGAGATTATAGGCATGAAACACCCAGCCAGGAGGAGGCATTTCTACAAAGAAAACATACAAATGGCAAACAGACATATAAATGTTGCTAAACATCATTAAACCTCAGAGAAATGAAAATCAGAACTACAATAAGATATTATCTCACTCCAGTTAAAATGTCTTATATCCCAAAGACAGACAATAACAAGTGCTGACGAGGATGTGGAGAAAACTTTAGTGCACTCTTGGTGGGAATGTAAATTAGTATAACCACTATAAAAAAGTGTGGAGGTTCCTCAAAAAGCTAAAAATTGAGCTGCCACAGCTACAATGCAACCCAACAATCCCAGTGATGGGCATTGACACAAAAGAAAGAAAATCGGCTTGTTGCTGCACTGTTTACAATAGCTAAGATTTGAAAGCAAACTGTCTACAAATGAATGAATGTATAAAAAAAGTAGTACATATATACATTGGAGTAGTATTCAGCCATAAAAATGAGATTTTGTCTTTTACGACAACATGGATAAAAGAGAAGAGTATGTTAAGTGAAATAAGCCAGGCACAGAAAGATAAACACTGTGCGTTCTCACTTATTCGTGGGATGGAAGAATTAATACAACTGAATTCACGGACATAGAGAGCAGAAGGATGGTTTTCAGAGGCTAAGAAAGACAGTGGAGGCTGGGGGAAAGGTGGGGACTGTTAATGTGTACAAAAAAATAGAATAAATAAGACATATTATTTGATAGCACAACGAGATGACTCTGGTCAATAATAATGTAATTGTACATTTTAAACTAGCTAAGAAGGAATAATCAGATTTTAACCCAAAGAATAAATGCTTGAGTGGGTGGGTATCCCATTCTCTATGATGTGATTATTATGCATTGCGAGACCGCATCAAAACATCTCATGAACCCCATAAGTATATACACCTACAATGCATCCTCAAAAATTACAAATTAACTGAAGTAAATAAAATAAAACTATTTAAAAATAAAATATCATAACATTAACTAACCCCAGAAATATAAGATTTTAATGAAATAAAAATGCCTCTATAATAATCAAACAGTGAGAAGAAAGTCACACTTTACTCCTATTTTTGTTTCTGATCTATCTTCTATCTAGTTTCAAGTTGTAGAATTTTCTTTTTTCATTTCTAATTAAATTTTATTTTATTTTATTTTTTTATTATACTTTAACTTTTACGGTACATGCGCACAACATGCAGGTTTGTTACATATGTATACATGTGCCATGTTGGTGTGCTGCACCCAGTAACTCGCCATTTAACATTAGGTATATCTCCAAATGCTATCCGTCCCCCCTCACCCTACCCCACAACAGGCCCCGGAGTGTGATGTTCCCCTTCTTCTGCCCATATGTTCTCTTTGGTCAATTCCCACCTATGAGCGAGAACATGCGGTGTTTGGTGTTTTGTGCTTGGATAGTTTGCTCAGAATGATGGTTCCAGCTTCATCCATGTCCCTATAAAGGACATGAACTCTTCATTTTTTATGGCTGCATTTTGTTCCATGGTGTATATGTGCCACATTTTCTTAATCCAGTCTATCATTGTTGGACATTTGGGTTGGTTCCAAGTCTTCGCTATTGTGAACAGTGCCGCAATAAACATACTTGTGCTTGTGCCTTTATAGCAGCATGATTTATACTCCCTTGGGTGTATACCCAGTAATGGGATGGCTGGGTCAAATAGTATTTCTAGTTCTAGAGCCCTGAGGAATCGCCACACTGACTTCCACAATGGTTGAACTAGTTTACAGTCCCACCAACCGTGTAAAAGTGTTTCTATTTCTCCACATCCTCTCCAGCACCTGTTGTTTCCTGATTTTTTAATGATCGCCATTCTAAGTGGTGTGAGATGGTATCTCATTGTGGTTTTGATTTGCATTTCTCTGATGGCCAGTGATGATGAGCATTTTTCCATGTGTCTTTTTGCTGCATAAATGTCTTCTTTTGAGAAGGGTCTTCATATCCTTCACCCACTTTTTGATGGGGTTGTTTTTTTCTTGTAAATTTGTTTGAGTTCATTGTAGATTCTGGATATTAGCCCTTCGTCAGATGAGTAGATGGCACAAACTTTCTCCCATTCTGTAGGTTGCCTGTTCAGTCTGATGGTAGTTTCTTTTGCTGTGCAGAAGCTCCTTAGTTTAATTAGATCCCATTTGTCAATTTTGGCTTCTGTTGCCATTGCTTTTGGTGTTCTAGACATGAAGTCCTTCCCCATGCCTATGTCCTGAATGGTATTGCCTAGGTTTTCTTCTAGGGTTTTTACGGTTTTAGGTCTAACATTTAAGTCTTGAATCCATCTTGAATTAATTTTTGTATAAGGTGCAAGGAAGGGATCCAGTTTCAGCTTTCTACATACGGCTAGCCAGTTTTCCCAGCACCATTTATTAACTAGGGAATCATTTCCCCATTTCTTGTGTTTGTCAGGTTTGTCAAAGATCAGATGGTTGTAGATATGTGGCATTATTTCTCAGGGCTCTGTTCTGTTCCATTGGTCTATATCTCTGTTTTGGTACAAGTACAATGCTGTTTTGGTCACTGTAGCCTTGTAGTATAGTTTGATGTCATGTAGCGTGATGGCTCCAGCTTTGTTCTTTTGGTTTAGGATTGACTTGGCAATGAGGGCTCTTTTTTAGTTCCTTATGAACTTTAAAGTAGTTTTTTTCTAATTCTGTGAAGAAAGTCTTTGGTAGCTTGATGGGGATGGCATTGAATCTATAAATTACCTTGGGCAGTATGGCCATTTTCACGATATTGATTATTCCTACCCATGAGCATGGAATGTTCTTCCATTTGTTTGTATCCTCTTTTATTTCATTGAGCAGTGGTTTGTAGTTCTCCTTGAAGAGGTCCTTCACGTCCTTGTAAGTTGGGTTCCTAGGTATTTTATTCTCTTTGAAGCAATTGTGAATGGGAGTTCACTCACGATTTGGCTCTCTGTTTGTCTGTTATTGGTGTATAAGAATGCTAACTATTTTTGCACACTGATTTTGTATCCTGAGACTTTGCTGAAGTTGCCTATCAGCTTAAGGAGATTTTGGGCTGAGATGATGGGGTTTTCTAGATATACAATCATGTCATCTGCAAACAGGGACAATTTGACTTCCTCTTTTCCTAATTGAATACCCTTTATTTCCTTCTCCTTCCTGATTGCCCTGGCCAGAATTTCCAACATTATGTTGAATAGGAGTGGTGAGAGAGGGCATCCCTGTCTTGTGCCTGTTTTCAAAGGGAATGCTTCCAGCTTTTGCCCATTTAGTATGATATTGGCTATGGCTTTGTCAGAGATAGCTCCTATTACTTTGAGATACGTCTCATCAATTCCTAATTTATTGAGAGTTTTTTGCAGGAAGAGTTGTTGAATTTTGTCAAAGGCCTTTTCTGCATCTCTTGATATCTCAAGATAATCACATGGTTTTTTTGTCATTGGTTCTGTTTATAAGGTGGATTACGTTTGTTGATTTGTGTATGTTGAACCAGCCTTGCATCCCAGAGATGAAGCCCACTTGATCATGGTGGATAAGCTTTTTGATATGCTGCTGGATTCGGTTTGCCAGTATTTTATTGAGGATTTTTGCATAGATCTTCATCGGAGATATTGGTCTAAAATTCTCTTTTTTTGTTGTGTCTCTGCCAGGCTTTGGTATCAGGATGATGCTGTCCTCATAAAATGAGTTAGGGAGGTTCCCTCTTTTTCTATTGATTGGAATAGTTTCAGAAGGAATGGTACCAGCTCCTCCTTGTACCTCTGGTAGATTTTGGCTGTGAATCCATCTGGTCCTGGACTTTTTCTGGTTGGAAAGCTAATTATTAATTATTGCCTCAATTTCAGAGCCTGTTATTGGTCTATTCAGAGATTCAAATTCTTCCTGGTTTAGTCTTGGGTGGGTGTATGTGTCGAGGAATTTATCCATTTCTTCTAGATTTTCTAGTTTATTTGCATAGAGGTGTTTATAGTATTCTCTGATGGTAGTTTGTATTTCTGTGGGATCGGTGGTGATATCCCCTTGGGTTTAATAAACAGATAACATCAAACATTCAACTAATCCAATAAAAAGAAATTTTATTCATTTGAGAATGTGTTTTCCAGAGCATACTTATATATTACGTTTTAACTTCATAATTTATATTTTATAAAAACATAACTAATTCAAGTTAATCTTCTCTAATTTTTAATTCAATTGAATTTTTATCAGGATCACTATATTTAAACAAAAATTACCTGAATTTTTCACATCATAATTTATAGATTCTGCTTCTACAAATTGTCTGTAGGGACCATTATTTCTACACGGTCTACTTTCCTGGGTTAAGTGGTGGATACCTAAATGTTTTTTGGAATAATGTTTTCTTATATCAGTTTTTAGTCAGTGATACGTTGCACCATGTTTAATTTTAAGCATTATCAGTTTTCTTTTTTTTTTTAATTGATCATTCTTGGGTGTTTCTCGCAGAGGGGGATTTGGCAGGGTCACAGGACAATAGTGGAGGGAAGGTCAGCAGATAAACAAGTGAACAAAGGTCTCTGGTTTTCCTAGGCAGAGGACCCTGTGGCCTTCCGCAGTGTTTGTGTCCCTGGGTACTTGAGATTAGGGAGTGGTGATGACTCTTAAGGAGCATGCTGCCTTCAAGCATCTGTTTAACAAAGCACATCTTGCACCGCCCTTAATCCATTCAACCCTGAGTGGATACAGCCCATGTTTCAGAGAGCACAGGGTTGGGGGTAAGGTCACAGATCAACAGGATCCCAAGGCAGAAGAATTTTTCTTAGTACAGAACAAAATGAAAAGTCTCCCATGTCTACCTCTTTCTACACAGACACGGCAACCATCCGATTTCTCAATCTTTTCCCCACCTTTCCCCCCTTTCTATTCCACAAAACCGCCATTGTCATCATGGCCCATTCTCAATGAGCTGTTGGGTACACCTCCCAGACGGGGTGGTGGCAGGGCAGAGGGGCTCCTCACTTCCCAGTAGGGGCGGCTGGGCAGAGGCGCCCTTCACCTCCCGGACGGGGCGGCTGGCCAGGCGGGGGGCTGACCCCCCCACCTCCCTCCTGGACAGGGCGGCTGGCCGGGCGAGGGGCTGACCCCCTCACCTCCCTCCCGGACGGGGCGGCTGGCCGGGCGGGGGGCTGACCCCCCACCTCCCTCCCGGACGGGGCGGCTGACCGGGCGGGGGGCTGACCCCCCCACTTCCCTCCCGGATGGGGTGGCTGGCCGGGCAGAGGGGCTCCTCAGTTCCCAGTAGGGGCGGCCGGGCAGAGGCGCCCCTCACCTCCCGGACGGGGCGGCTGGCCGGGCGGGGGGCTGACCCGCCCACCTCCCTCCCCCCCAGAAGGGGTGGCTGGTCGGGCGGGGAGCTGATCCCCCACCTCCCTCCCAGACGGGGCGGCTGGCCGGGCAGAGGGGCTCCTCACTTCCCATCAGGGGCTGCCGGGCAGAGGCGCCCCTCACTTCCCGGATGGGGCGGCTGGCCAGGCGGGGGGCTAACCCACCCACCTCCCTCCCGGAGGAGGCGGCTGGCCGGGCGGGCGGCTGACCCCCCACCTCCCTCCCGCATGGGGTGGCTGGCCAGGCGGGGGGCTGACACCCCCACCTCACTCCCGAACGAGGTGGCTGCCAGGCGGAGATGCTCCTCACTTCCGAGACGGGGTGACTGCCGGGCGGAGGGGCTCCTCACTTCTCAGACAGGGTGTTTGCCAGGCAGAGGGTCTCCTCACTTCTCAGACGGGGCGGCCGGGCAGAGACATTCCTCACATCCCGGATGGGGCGGCAGGGCAGAGGTGCTCCCCACATCTCAGATGATGGGCGGCCGGGCAGAGACGCTCCTCACTTCCCAGATGTGATGGCGGCCGGGAAGAGGCGCTCCTCACTTCCTAGATGGGATGGCGGCCGGGCAGAGACGCTCCTCACTTTCCAGACTGGGCAGCCAGGCAGAGGGGCTCCTCACATCCCAGACGATGGGCGGCCAGGTGGAGACGCTCCTCACTTCCCAGACGGGGTGGCGGCCGGGCAGAGGCTGCAATCTCGGCACTTTGGGAGGCCAAGGCAGGCTGCTGGGAGGTGGAGGTTGTAGCGAGCCGAGATCACGCCACTGCACTCCAGCCTGGGCACCATTGAGCACTGAGTGAACGAGTCTCCGTCTGCAATCCCGGCACCTCGGGAGGCCGAGGCTGGCGGATCACTCGCGGTTAGGAGCTCAGCCCGGCCAACACAGCGAAACCCCGTCTCCACCAAAAAAATACGAAAACCAGTCAGGCGTGGCGGCGCGCGCCTGCAATCGCAGGCACTCGGCAGGCTGAGGCAGGAGAATCAGGCAGGGAGGTTGCAGTGAGCCGAGATGGCAGCAGTACCATCCAGCTTCGGCTCGGCATCAGAGGGAGACCGTGGAAAGAGAGGGAGAGAGAGAGCGTGGGGAGACGGAGAGGGTGAGGGAGAGGGAGAGGGAGAGGGAGAGGGAGAGCTATCAGTTTTCTTTCTTGTGCATTATTTTCACAGTAATATAAATTATGGACATCAAAATATCCTCAGGGTTAAAAATGTTGGAGTCCAAGCATTCTATATTCTTGATTTGTATGGTTTCAATTATGACTCAGCATTTTAGGAAAACATTGGCTCTATAATCTGTCACCCTCACCCCATTTAAATAAAAACATACTTTTTTGGACACAAGGATCAGGCATACACATCTACACAGTGGATCACATCATTTTTGGGGGCAAACTGAAAACTGTTTTTATACTCAAACATACTGTTAGGAAACTGTGAAATAAAAATTTCTGATGTTTGTTAAAAATTGGGAAGAAAGACATTAATACTATTGTAGTAGATTTTATGGCCATCGTAATAGGGTTCAGTTCAGAAATTGATCATAACTCTGAACACAGACAACGAAGAATTTATAGTCAATAAGCAGAATAAATCAGTGGATAAGAATTATTGAAAAACATTTGATAAAATACCAAAGGAGGAAGAGGAACTTTTTATAGCAGAAGCCTGGTTACAGGTTGGCTAAGGACTTAAATATCAAAGAAAGGGAATCACGATATTAGTAGACATAAGGGATATGTGGATTTTTACTAAACAGTATTAGCAGGATTTATGAAAGTGAGCCTCTCAAACCAGGAGCAGGGCAAGAAGTCAAGGTTGGCTTAGTCAAAAAGAGGGTTCAGTTAAGCTTGACTAACATTTGGTCATAAAGGTAGTGCTTACAAGAACCCAGATTTTTTTCCCATCTGATCTGAAAATAAATAATCACCAAAAAAGGCTTTGTTTGAAAAATGAGTGCCCACTTCACCTGAGAAAACCTCCATCTTCTTCTGTTTACCTTTGAATTTAGTGTAGAAAAAGAGCACTTGTCATTGCCACAGTTTTAATTTTGCTTTCACTCTTAAAAACAGAGAGTCAGGGCTGGGTGTGGTGGTTCATGCCTGTAATCCCAGCATTTTGGGCATGGTGATGCAAGCACACCTGTAATCCCAGCTACTTGAAAGGCTGAGGCAGGAGAATCACTTGAACCCAAGAGTCAGAGGTTGCAGTGAGCCAAAATCACACCACTGCACTCCAGCCTGGTGACAGAGTGAGACTCCATCAAACAAAACAAAACAAAACAAAACACAAAATTAGAAATTTAGTTTTATTCAAACAGCAACTTACAAACACAAAGGTTATAGTTTCTGACCCCTATTCAAGACAATTGGTTGTAACCATAAGTATTGATGGGACTTCAGGGAGATTCCTCAGATGGAGCTGATGCAGCTGTGCAAGCCACTTTGACCTTGCATCTTTCCTACTTCTTAGCCTTTGAAATGGACATGGTTGCTGGTGCAGGCTTGTGCTCCTACAGCCAGCCATATGGGACCATGAGACAGCCTACAGGATAAAAACCATCTACTGAAATATTGTAGCAAAGTGTGCCAAGAGGGCTGACTAGAAGTAGCTATGGTGTGTGGCTTTCATGAAAAGAAACAAAGAGGGAAAATAAATACAGCACCATCAACTGAAACACCCAGATATTTGCAGTGGGACTAATGAAGGAAACAGCTCAACCCATGGGAAAAAGAAGGGCATGGCAAACGCCCACCCGGGAGTAACACAGACCAAAGGGAACCTACCCTGCCCAAGGAAGTGGTGAGCAAATACGTGACCCTGAGAAACCACACTTCTCCCATGGATCTTTGCAACTCTCGGGTCAGGAGATTTTCTCGTAAACTTATTCCACCAGGGCCTTTGGTCTGATACACAGAGCTGCGTGTTCCCGGCAGAACAACTGCTCAGACACAAACAGAATCGCAGGAGCTTTACATACTTTGGCTCTGAGATCTCTGGCAAAGGTGACTGCAACTCAGACAAGGTGGGAGGTTGGATCTCCGTAAATGCCCCTAGAAAGGAAGCTGAATCCATGGGCCTGAGCAGCATCAGTGGGCCCCACTTCCATGACGCCTCACAGGATAAGACCTACTGGCTTGGAATTCCATCCAGCCCCCAGCAACAGCATTGCAATTACCTGGGATGGAACAACGTTCCTGGAGGCAGGGGCTGGCTGCTATATTTGCTGTTTGGATGACTCAGCCATTCCAGCCTGGAGGTTTAGGAGAGTTAAAAAAAAAAAAAAACTCATGGCAGATGGAAGAAATCCCTTAGCACGGCACATTGGCCCTCCCAAAGTTTGGCCGGACTACTTCTTGAAGTGGGACCCAGATACCTTTTTCATCTCAGAGTGGGGCCTCCTACCAGAGCCTCCAGACAGCCCCTTCCATATTCTCCGGCAGGCAGAGTTTTGATTTATTCCTGGATGCAGTGCACATTGGGAGCAGTGGGTCTTCATATTTGTTGTTTGGAGAACTCAGCCATAACAATCAGTGGGCTTAGGAGAGTCCAAACCATCCCTGGGAAGAAGGAATCCCCCAGCATAGCACAGTGGATCTGCCATAATGTGATCAGATTGCTTCTTTAAGTGGGACCTAATATGCTCTGCATCTCTGGGTGGAACTTCCCAACCAGGGCCTCCAGCAACTCCCACTGATGTTGTCTGGCTGGCAGAGGTTTAAAAACTTCCTGGGCCAGAGTTCCTAGAGAGAGGGGTTGGCCACCATCTTTGCTGTTTCAGCCACTTTGCTGTTTCAGCCTCCAGGCTTTGGAGAGCCCAATCTGCTGAAGGGCAGAAATGGTACCCCGCACAGCATGGCTGATCTATGAAAGTGGGGCTAGATGGCTTAAGTGGGTCCCCAATCCTATTCCTCCTAGCTGGGTGAGACCTACCAACTGGGGTTTCCAGTCACCTCCTACAGGTGTGTTCGAGCCCTCAACATGTCTGCACCCGCCCTGGGATGGAGCTCCCAGGGAAGGGAGTGGGCTGCTATCTTTCTTGTTTCACAGCCTTCACTGGTGATACCCCCAGATACTGGAAAATCCGAGGTGACAAGAGAGTGGAGCAGATGCCCAACAAACTACAGCAGCCCCACACAAAATGGCCAAACAGTTAAAAGGAAGAGAAACAAACAAAAATCTCATTCAAAGGCCAGCAACCTCAAAGATTAAAGATAGATAGGCACACAAAGGTGAGAATCACAACAAGAATACTAAAAACTCAAAAATCAGGGTGCTCTCCCTCTCCCAAATGACCACACTACTTCTCCAGCAAGAGTTCAGAATAAGGGTGAGGCTGTGATCCCTGAAATAACAGAAGTAGACCCCAGAATGTGGATAAAAATGAACTTCACTGATCTAAAGGAGCATGCTCTAACTCAATACAAGAAAGCTAAAAATTACAATATAATATTGCAGGAGCTGACAAACAAATTAGCCAGGATAGAGAGGAGCCTAACCAACCCGATAGCACTGTAAAACACAATACAAAAATTTCATAATGCAATCACAAGTATTAATGAGGAAAGAAACTCAGAGCTTGAAGTTTGTATTTCTGAAAGAAGACATGCAGAGAAGAATAGAAAAAAAGAATGAAAGGAATAAACAAAACCTTTGAGAAATATGGGATTATGTAAAGAGACCAAATCTACAACTGATTGGTGTACTTGAAAGAGCTGGGGAGAATGGAACCAATCAGGAAAACATATTTCAGGATATCATCAATGAGAACTTCCCCAACCTTGCTACACTGGCCAACAATTCAGAAAATGGAGAGAAGTTCAGTAAGATACTCCAAGAAAAAATCATACCCAAGACACATAAACGTCAGATTCCCCAAACTTGAAATGGAAGAAAAAAAAAGAAAAAAAAGCTCAGCCGCAGAGAAAAGCCAAGTCACCTACAAAAAGAAGTTGATCAGACTAAGAGCAGAGCTGTCAGTGAGAACCCTACAAGCCAAAAGAGATTGGGGGCCAATATTTAACGTTCTTAAAGAAAATAAACTTTAAGCCAGAATTTTATATCTGGCCAAACTAAGCTTAATCTGGGGAGAAATAACATCCCTTTCAGACAAGCAAATTCCGAGTTAATTCATGAACACCAGACATGCTTTTCAAGAGCTCCTGAAGGAAGCACCAATTTGGAAAGGGAAAATTATTACCAGCCACCACAAAAACACACTCAAGTACACAGACCATTGACACTATAAATCAACCACATAAACAAGTCTGAAAAATAAAAATAACCAGCTAGCATCAAGATAACAAGATAAAATCTACGCATAACAATACTTACCTTAAATGTAAATGGGATAAATGCCCCAGTTGAAACACACAGGGTGGCAATTGTATAAAAACCAAGACCCATTGGTATGCTCTTCAAGACACCCATCTCACATGCGGGGACACACATAGGCTAAAAATAAAGGGATGGAGGAAATTTCACCAAGCAAGTGGAAAACCTAAAAAAGCAAGGGTTGCAGTCTTACTTTCCAACAAAACAGACTTTAAACCAACACAGATTAAAAACAACAACAACAACAACAACAAAGAGGGTCATTACATAATGGCAAAGAATTCAATTCAACAAGAATTAACTATTCTAAATATATATACACCCAACACAAGAGTACCCAGATTCATATAACAAGTTTCTAGATATCTTGAAAGAGACTTAGAACACCACACAATAATAATGACCGACTTTAACATCCCACTGACAGTATTAGAAAGATTATTGAGACAGAAAATTAACAAAGGTGTTCAGGACCTGAACTTAGCTCTGGATCAAATGGACATGATATATATTTACAGAACTCTCCACATGAAAACAGCAGAATATACATTCTTCTCATCACTACATGACACTTTCTCTGAAATTGGTCACTTAGCCAGAAGTAAAACACTCTTCAGCAAATGCAAAAGAACTGAAATCATAATAAACAGTGGCTCAGATCACAGCACAATCAAATTAAAACTCACGATGAAATAATTTACTGAAAACCATAAAATTAAATGGAAATTGAATCACCTGCTCCTGAATAACTTTTGGGTAAATAATGAAATTAAGGCAGATATCAAGGAGTTCTTTGAAACCAATGAGAACAAAGACAAAACATACCAGAATCTCTGGGACACAGCTAAGGCAGTATTAAGATGAAAATTTATGGCATTAAATGCCCACATTAAAATGCCAGAAATGTCTCAAGTTACAACTTCACATCAAAAATAACTACAGGAACAAGAGCAAAGAAGTTCTAGAGCTAGCAGAACACAAGAAATAACCAAAATCAGACCTGAAATGATGGAGATAGGGACAAGAGAAACCATTCAACAGATCAACAAATTCAGGAGCTGTTTCTTTTTCTTTGAAAAAACCAATAATATAAATACACCAGTAGTAGACTAATAAGGAAGAAAATATCAAAAATTAAAATGAACACAATCAGAAATAATAAGGGTTACCACTGACTCCACAGAAATAAAAATAACCATCAGAAAATATCATAAACACCTCTATGCCTGTAAGATAACAAATTCAGTAGAAATGGATAAATTTCTGGACACATACACCCTTCAAGAATAAACCAGGAAGAAATTGAATCCCTGAAAAGACAAACAACAGGCTCTGAAATTCAGGCAGTAATAAATAGCCTACAAACCACAAAAAGATCAGAAACACAAAGATTAAAAGCTGAAGGTTATGACATTTATGAAGAAGAACTGGTACAATTCCCACTAAAATTATTTCAAAAAACTGAAACAGAGGGCTTTCTTCCCGACTCTTTCTATGAGACCACATCATCCTGGTACCAAAACCTGGCAGACACTCAAGAAAAAAAACAAAACTTCAAAAAATTTGCAAGAAGAAAACAACCCCATCAAAAAGTGGGCGAAGGACATGAACAGACGCTTCTCAAAAGAAGACATTTATGCACCCAAAAAACACATGAAAAAATGCTCACCATCACTGGCCATCAGAGAAATGCAAATCAAAACCACAATGAGATACCATCTCACACCAGTTAGAATGGCAATCATTAAAAAGTCAGGAAACAACAGGTGCTGGAGGAGATGTGGAGAAATAGGAACACTTTTACACTGTTGGTGGGACTGTAAACTAGTTCAACCATTGTGGAAGTCAGTGTGGCAATTCGTCAGGGATCTAGAACTAGAAATACCATTTGACCCAGCCATCCCATTTCTGGGTATATACACAAAGGACTATAAATCATGCTGCTTTAAAGACACATGCACACGTTTGTTTATTGCGGCACTATTCACAATAGCAAAGACTTGGAACCAACCCAAATGTCCAACAATGATAGACTGGATTAAGAAAATGTGGCCCATATACACCATGGAATACTATGCAGCCATAAAAAATGATGAGTTCATGTCCTTTGTAGGGACACGGATTAAATTGGAAATCATCATTCTCAGTAAACTATCACAAGAACAAAAAAACCAAACACCGCATGTTCTCACTCATATGTGGGAATTGAACAATGAGATCACATGGACACAGGAAGGGGAACATCACACTCTGGGGACTGTTGTGATGAGGGGGGAGGGGAGAAGGATAGCATTGGGAGATATACCTAATGCTAAATGACGAGTTAATGGGTGCAGCACACAAGCATGGTGCATGCGTACATATGTAACTAACCTGCACATTGTGCACATGTACCCTAAAACTTAAAGTATAATAATAATAAAATAAAAAAAGAAAAAAAAAAACTTCATGCCAATATTTTTGATGAACATTTATGCAAACATTCTTAACAAAATAGGGGCAAACCAAATCCAGCAGCGCATCAGAAAGCTTATCCACCACAATCAAGTAGGCTCCATCTGTGGGATGCAACTTTAATTCAACGTACACAAATCAATACGTGATTTATCACATAAACAGAACTAAAGACAAAAGCCACATGATTGTCTGAATAGATGCAGATAAATCTTTGCATCCATAAAATTCAACATCCATTCTTGTAAAAACTCTCAATAAACTAGTTATTGAAAAAAACATACTTCAATATAATAAGAACCATGTATGACAAACCCACAGCCAATATCATACTGAAAGGGCAAAAGCTGAAAGCATTCCCTTTTAAAACGGGCACAAGACAAGGATGCCCTCTCTCATGACTCCTATTTCAGATAGTATTGGAAGTACTGGGCAGAGCAATCAGGTAAGAGAAAAAGGCATTCAAATTGAAAGAAAAGAAATTAAACAGCACCTGATGTCAGACGACATGATTCTATATCTTGAAAACCCCTATTGTCTCAACCCCAAAGCTTCTTAAGCTGATAAATATCTTTAACAAAGTCCCAAGATACAAAATAAATGGGCAAAAATCACTAGCACTAAATCCTTATATACCAACAACAGTCAAGCCAAGAGCAAAATCGTGAATGAACACTCATTCACAGTTACCACAAAAAGAATAAAATACCAAGGAATGTATCTAACAAGAGAAGTGAAAGGCCATTACAAGGAGAACTATAAACCACTTCTCAAAGAAATCAGACATGACATAAACAAATAGAAAAACATTTCATGCTTAGGGATAGAAAGAGTTAATATTGTTAAAGTAGACACACTCCACAAAGAAATTTATAGAGTTAATAGTATTTCCGTTAAACTACCAATGACATTTTTCACAAAACTAGAAAAGCTATTTTAAAATTTATATGGAACCAACAAAGGCCTGAATAGTCAAGACAACCCCAAACAAAAAGAACAAAGCTGGAGGCATCACACTACCCAACTTCAAACTGTGCTACAGGGCTACAGCAACCAAAACAGCATGGTACTGGTACAAGAACAGACACACAGACCAATGAAACAGAATAGAGGACCCAGAAATAAGACTGCACACCTACAACTAACTGATCTTCGACAAACCTGACAAAAACAAGCAATGAAAAAACGACTCTGTACTCAATAAATGGTGCTGGGATAACTGCCTAGCCATGTGCAAAAAATTGAAACTGAACCCCTTCCTCCATCATCCTCTGCAACTAACACAGGAACAGAAAACTAACCACCGCATATTCTCACTCATAAGTGGGAGTTGAACAATAAGATCACATGGACACTGGAAGGGAAACAACACAACTGGGGCTAGTCAGGGAATGGGAGTCGAAGGGAGGGAGAGCATTAGGATAACTAGCTAATGCATGTGGGACTTGAAGCCTGGATAACGGGCTGATAGGTGCAGTAAACCACCATGGCACACATATACCAATGTAACAAACCTACACATTCTGCACTTGTACTTCAGAACCCAATTTAAATTTAAAAAATAAAGAAAGATTCCTTACATCATATACAACAATAAACTCAACATGGTTTAAATGTAAAACCCAAGACTATAAAAACTTTGGAAGACAACCTAGGCAATACCATTCAGGACATAGGCATGGGCAAATATTTTATGATGAAGGCGCAAAAGCAATTAGAACAAAGAGAACATTGACAAATGGGATCTAACTAAACTAAAGAGCTTTTGCACAGCAAAAGAAACTATCAACAGAGTAAACAGACAATGTATAGAATGGGAGAAAATTTTTGCAAACTGTGCATCTGACAATAATCTAATTTCTAGCATCCATAAGGAACATAAATTTACACGAGAAAAACAAACAACCTTATTAAAAATTGGCCAAAGGACACACAGAAACACTTCTTGAAAGAAGACATACATGCAGCCAATAAGCGTATGAAACAGAAGTTCAACATCACTGACCATTAGAGAAATGTAAATCCAAACCACAATGAGATATCATTTTATACCAGGTATAATGGTTACCATGAAAAAATCAAAAAATCACAGATGCTGACAAAGTTGTGGAGAAAAAGCAACATTTTTACCCTGTTGGTCGAGTTCAAACGTTGTGGAAGACAGTGTGGTGATTCTTCAAAGACCTAAAGAAAAGAATACCATTTGACCTAGCAATCTCATTACTGGGTATATACCCAAACAAATATAAGTCATTCTATTATAAAGATACATGCACGCACAAGTTCATCACAGCCCTATTCACAATAGCAAAGACATCAAATCAGCCTACATGTTCATCAATAATAGACTGGTTGAAGAAAACGTAGTTCATATACAACATGGAGTACTATGCAGCCATAAAAAAGCACAAGATTATGTCCTTTGTAGGGACATGGATGGAGCTGGAGGCCATTATCCTTAAAAAACTAACAGAAACAGAAAACCAAATACCACATTTTCTCACTTATAAGTGGAGGGTAGATGATGAGAACACACAGAAACATGGAGGGGAGCAACACGCACCAGGGCCTATCAGGAGGTAGGGGGTGAGAGGAGGGAGAGAATCAGAAAAAATAACTAATAGTTAGTAGACTTAATACCTGGGTGATAAAACAATCTGCACAACCAAACTTCGGGACGTATGTTTCCATATTTAAAGAACCTGCACATCCTGCCCACATACCCCTGAACTTAAAACAAAGTTCAAAAAAGAAAAACATTTTAGCAAAATGACAGACTATTTTTGACTACCTTCGTGTACAGTTCAGAGTCAGACTGCCCAGCTCTAACATCCTTATTTATGAGAAAGAAAGCATTCTCTCTCTTATCTGCACTATTATATTGGGTTTTCTTTTTTAATTTTTTTGAGACGGAGTTTCACTCTTATTGCCCAGACTGGAGTGCAATGCCGCGATCTCGGTTCACCATAATCTCTACCTCCCGGGTTCAAGCGATTCTCCTGCCTCAGCCTCTCAAGAAGCAGGGATTACAGGCATGCACCACTACGCCTGGAAAATTTTGTATTTTTGGTAGAGACTGGGTTTCTCTATGTTGGTCAGGCTGGTCTTAAACTCCAGACCTCTGGTGATCCGTCTGCCTCAACCTCCCAATGTGTTGGGATAACAGGCGTGAACTACAGCACCCGGTCTGGGTTTTCTTCTATATGTAGGAAAATGTAATCCTAACTAAAGTGCTAGCTTTGCCATGGAATCTCTGTGTAATTCTGGATGTTATGTCACTTTCCTAAGACTTTTTTCTATCTGCGTAGTGGTGGAGGCAGTAGTGGGGAAGATTTAATTATACAAAGGGTCCATCAATCCATGTGTTAAGTGAGGATGTCACTACTTTCCAGACTCAGAGGACAGGGGACATATTGTTATGCTCCATGGGAAGCTGTTGGGGGGTGGAGGTGGGGCTCACTTGCACACATTGTCTGTGGGCCTTGAAAGATCAAGTGTGTATGACCCTTCTTGAACAGAAGGTCCATGTGCCCAGTGCAGAACCCATCTATTTCTTCCCAAGTGAGGAAGATCTGGGAACACCCTGATCACAGCCTTGCTACACCAATCCTAGTTGGTAGGGACGTTAGACCATATGCATGTTGAGCTGTGGCTTAAGCATTTTGACATCTCACATCTCATTGGATATCTGAAAAACTGAGGTCTGGAGAGAAGCAGGGACTGGCCCAGAGATGATGAAGTGGGCAGAGTCCAAGGGAAAAAAGAGCATTCTGACCTCCTAGGCCAGGGCTCAACACTCTCATGGGGTTTGTTTTGGGAATGAGTCCCTGAGATCCTGGGGATTTTTGCCAATTTTCTCGTCATATGAAGCAAACTCATGTCTGCATCATTAGACTTCCACAGGTTTGTGCATACACACACAGACTTCTCAGGCTAAAGGTCATAAGAGGAGTTAACGCTGATGGAGTGATGAGAAGAAAAAAGATAGAGGATAGGGGCAGCTTTGTCATGGGGTAGAAGCACCCCATCTTCTGGTAACATGCCCAGGACCCATAACATGGGCAGGGGAAGACAATAGGCTGATGGCTTGAGAGGCTCAAGGCTTCCATGGATCTGACTGGGCTGCAGCCAACACCAGGATAGCTTTCCAAGGACAAAACCTTACTTTCTCCATTCATTAATCTGCATAATTAAAATGGTAAGGAATCCCCCTACACCCAATATGGAGAGGAATACAGTAGTGAAAACCTTCAATTTTTCTCTGTACAAATTGACATAATTGAACTGTGTGACCCCTAAATTTGAAAGGCTTAAAGAAGTGAGTTGACCTTGCTGTCTATCAATTACCACTGTACTCTCAGAACTTTGAAAATTGCTCTGTGTCCTCCGAAGGTCTTTCAGAGCAGAAAGTGGCCTAGGGGTGTGCGGGACTGAGCACTCAGGCTGGTGTAGAATGTGACAGATCCTCAGACCACTGCTCTGGGATCCAAGGAGAAGACCTTCTCCGTCAGAGCTTTGGGGATCTTTTTTTTGGAGGGGGCGATCTTTTTTGAAAGTGGAGACAGAATCGTTTTCCAGGGCTCCCTCATTTGCCCTCCTGTTTCATAGTATTTCTTTTTTCTTTCTTTCTTTCTTTCTTTCTTTCTTTCTTTCTTTCTTTCTTCTTTCTTTCTTCTTTCTTTTTCTTTCTTTCTTCTTTCTTTCTTTCCTTCTTTTTCTTTCTCTTTCTTTCTTTCTCCTTCCTTTCTTTTCTTTCTTCCTTTCTTTCTTCTTTCTCTTTCTTTTGTTCTTCTTCCTTCATTCCTTCCTTCCGTTTCTTTCTTTCTTCTTTCTTTCTTTCCTCTTCCTTCATTCCTTCCTTCCTTTTCTTTCTTTCTTTCTTTCTTTCTTTCTTTCTTTCTCTTTCTTTCTCCTTCCTTCCTCCCTCCCTTTCTTTTCTTTCTTTCCTTATTTTCTTTTTTCTTTCTTCTTTCTTTCTTTCTTTCTTTCTTCTTTCTTTCTTTCTTTCTTTCTTTCTTTCTTTCTTTCTTTATCAGAGTCTCTCTCTTCTCGCTCTTTCACGGGACTGGAGTGGAGTGGCATGATCTCGGCTCACTGCAACCTCCACCTCCCGGGTTCAAGTGATTCACTGCAACCTCCACCTCCCAGGTTCAAGTGATTCTCCTGCCTCAGCCTCCTGAGTAGCTGGGACTATAAGGGCGTGCCACCAAGCCTGGCTAATTTTTGTATTATTAGTAGAGATGGGGTTTCGCCATGTTGTCCAGGATGGTCTCGATCTCTTCACCTCGTGATCTGCTTGCATCAGCCTCTGAAAAAAACTGAGATTATAGGTGTGAGCCACCACACAAAGCCTACAGTTTATTTTTCCTTGCTTGTTAAAATGTTTTAGTCAGCTAAAATTTACACAATATAGAGTTCTACATACTAACTAATATAAAGTGTAAAATTCAGTGCTTTTCAGTTTATTTACAATGCTATGCAACTGTCACCCCTATCAAATTCCAAAATAGTTTCATCACCCTTTCACCAAAAAAACTCCATATCCATTAAGCAGTAATTTATCATTCATCCACCGAATTTCCTTGGTAACCACTGATTGACTTTCTATCTCTAGTACTCTCTTTCTTTCTTTCCTTTTTTTTTTTTTTTTTTTTGGTGTCTCACTCTGTCACCCATGCTAGAGTGCAGTGGCACGATCTCGGCTCGCTGCAAGCTCCACCTCCCTGGTTCACGCCATTCTCCTGCCTCAGCCTCCAGGGTAGCTGGGACTACAGATGCCTGTCAGCACGCCCAGCTATTTTTCTTTGTATTTTTAGTAGAGACGGGGTTTCACCATGTTAGCCAGCATGGTCTCGATCTCATGACGTCGTGATCTGCCTGCTTCGGCCACCCAAAGTGCTGGTATTACAGGCGTGAGCCATCACACCCGGCTTCTATTTCTAGTTTTCTATTCTAGTCACTTTATAGAAATATAATAATATAATATGTGACCTTTTTTCTTTGGCTTTTCTCTTTGAGCGTGTTTTCATTATTTATCCATGTTGTGGCACATATCAGTTCTGTATTTATTTTTATGGCTAGCTAATACTCCATTGTATAAATAATATTCTATTGGCCGGGGACAATGGCTCACACCTATAAACTCAGTATTTTGGGAGGCTGAGGCTGGTGGATCACCTGAGGTCAGGAGTTCTAGACCAGCCTGGCTGACATGGTGAAACACTGTGTCTACTAAAAATACAAAAATTAGCCGGGCGTGGTTCCTGAAAACCCAATTGCTCAGGAGGCTGAGGCCAGGGAATCTCTTGAACCCAGGAGGTGGAGGTTACAGTGAGCTGAGATCATGCCACTGCACTCCAGCATGGGTGACAGAGCAAGACTGTCTCAAAAAAAAAGAAAGAAAATGAGAGGAAATATGTGCAAACTACACAGCTGACAAGCGATTGATAAGCAGAATACAGAATAAACAGAAAAGTAAATAAAAAATTAGTTTAACTTTAAAATGGGCAATAATCTTCAGAGACATTTCTGGAAAATATAAGGGGCATAAACATAGAACCTAAAAGTTAGAGAAAAATTATGAAAAAACTGAAGGATATAGAAAAAATAATTTCAGACTATTCACATTAAAATTTAATTAGAGAGGGGGTGGAGCCAAGATGGGCGAATAGGAAAAGCCTTAGTCTAGAACTCCCAGCATTGGCAATGCAGAACACAGGTGATTTCTGCATTTCCAACTGAGCTACCGGGCTCATCTCACTGGGGAGTGTCAGAAAGTGGGTGCAGGACAGTGGGTGCAGCGCACCCCATGTGAGCCAAAGCATGGTGAGGCATCGCCTCACCCAGGAAGTGCAAGGGGTCAGGGAATACCCTTTCCTAGTCAAAGAAAGGGGTGACAGATTGCACCTGGAAAATCGGGTGACTCCCACCCTAACACTGTACTGTTCCAAAGGTCTTAGCAAACGGCACACCAGGAGATTATATCCTGCACATGGCTCAGAGGGTCCTACGCCCACAGAGCCTCAATCATTGCTAGCACAGCAGTCTGAGATCAAACTGCAAGGCAACAACAAGCCTGGGGGAGGGGCGCCCACCATTGCCGTGGCTTGAGTAGGTAAACAAAGCAGCCAGGAAGCTCCAACTGGGTGGAGCCAACTGCATCTCAAGGAGGCCTGCCTGACTCTGTAGACTCCACCTCTGGGGGCAGGGAATAGCCAAACAAATGGCAGCAGAATCCTCTGCAGACTTAAATGTCCCTGTCTGACAGCTTTGAAGAGTAGTGGTTATCCCAGCATGCAGCTGGAGATCTGAGAACAGACAGACTGCCTCCTCAAGTGGGTCCCTGACCCCCGAGTAGCCTATCTGGGAAGCATCCCCAGTAGGGGCAGACTGACACCTCACACGGCCGGGTACTCCTCTGAGACAAAATTTCCAGAGGAACAATCAGGCAGCAATATTTGCTTTTCACCAATATCCGCTGTTCTGCAGCCTCCACTGCTGATACCCAGGCAAACAGGGTCTGGAGTGGACCTCCAGCAAACTCCAACAGACCTGCAGCTGAGGGTTCTGACTGTTAGAAGGAAAACTAACAAACAGAAAGTACATCCACAACAAAATCCCATCTGTACATCACAATCATCAAAGACCAAAGGAGAGAAAACTACAAAGATGGGGAAAAAACAGAGCAGAAAAACGGAAAATTCTAAAAATCAGAGTATCTCTCCACCTCCAAAGGAGCACAGCTCCTCACCAGCAATGGAACAAAGCTGGACAGAGAATGACTTTGACGAGTTGAGAGAAGAAGGCTTCAGACGATCAAACTACTCCGAGCTAAAGGAGGAAGTTCGAACCCATGGCAAAGAAGTGAAAAACCTTTAAAAAAATTAGATGAATAGCTAACTAGAATAACCAATGCAGAGAAGTTCGTAAAGGACCTCATGGAGCTGAAAACCAATGTACGAGAAGTACGTGATGAATGCACAAGCCTCAGTAGCCAATTCGATGAACTGGAAGAAAGGGTGTCAGTGATGGAAGATCAAATGAATGAAATGAAGTGAGAAAAGAAGTTTAGAGAGAAAAGAATAAAAAGAAATGAACAAAACCTCCAAGAAATATGGGACTGTGTGAAAAGACCAAATCTACATCTGATTGGTGTACCTGAAAGTTATGAGGAGAATGGAAGCAAGTTGGAAAACACTCTGAAGGATATTATCCATGAGAACTTCCCCAATCTAGCAAGGGAGGGTGACATTCAAATTCAGGAAATACAGAGAACACCAAAAAGATAATCCTCAAGAAGAGCAACTCCAAGACACATAATTGTCAGATTCACCAAAGTTGAAATGAAGGAAAAAATGTTAAGGGCAGCCAGAGAGAAAGGTCGGGTTACCCACAAAGGGAAGCCCATCAGACTAACAGCTGATCTCTCGGCAGAAACTCTACAAGCCAGAAGAGTGGGGGACAATATTCAACATTCTTAAAGAAAAGAATTTTCAATCCAGAATTTCATATTCATTCAAACTAAGCTTCATAAGTGAAGGAGAAATAAAATCCTTTACATACAGGCAAACGATGAGAGATTTTGTCACCACCAGGCCTGCCCTAAAAGAGCTCCTGAAGGAAGCACTAAACATGTAAAGGAACAACCGGTACCAGCCACTGCAAAAACATGCCAAGTTGTAAAGACCATCGAGGCTAGGAAGAAACTGCATCAACTAACGAGCAAAATAACCAGCTAACATCATAATGACAGGATCAAATGCACACAAAACAATATTAACCTTAAAAGTAAATGGACTAAATTCTCCAATTAAAAGACACAGACTGGCAAATTGGATAAAGAGTCAAGACCCATCAGTGTTCTGTATTCAGGAAACGCATCTCACGTGCAGAGACACACATAGGCTCAAAATAAAGGGATGGAGGAAGATCTACCAAGCAAATGGAAAACAGAAAAAGGCAGGGGCTACAATCCTAGTGTCTGATAAAACAGACTTTAAAACAATAAAGATCAAAAGAGACAAAGAAGTCCATTACGTAATGATAAAGGGATCAATGCAATAAGAAGAGCTAATTATCCTGAATATATATGCACCCAATATAGGAGCACACAGATTCATAAAGCAAGTCCTTAGAGACCTAGAAAGAGACTTAGACTCCCACACAATAGTAATGGGAGATTTTAACACCTCACTGTCAACATTAGACATATCAATGAGACAGATAGTTAACAAGGATATCCAGGAATTGAACTCAGCTCTGCACCAAGCAGACCTAATAGACATCTACAGAACTCTCCACCCCAAATCAACAGAATATACATTCTTCTCAGCACCACACTGCACTTATTCCAAAATTGACCACATAGTTGGAAGTAAAGCACTCCTCAGCAAATTGTAAAAGAACAGAAATTATAAAAACCTCTCTCTCAGACCACACTGCAATAAAACTAGAACTCAGGATTAAGAAACTCACTCAAAACCGCTCAACTACATGGAAACCAAACAACCTGCTCCTGAATGACTACTGGGTACATAACGAAACGAAGGCAGAAATAAAGATGTTCTTTGAAAGCAACGAGAACAAAGACACAACATACCAGAATCTATGGGACACATTCAAAGCAGCGTGTAGAGGGAAATTTATAGCACTAAAGGCCCACAAGAGAAAGCAGAGAAGATCTAAAATTGACACCCTAACATCACAATTAAAAGAACTAGAGAAGCAAGAGCAAACACATTCAAAAGCTAGCAGAAGGCAAGAAATAACTAAGATCAGAGCAGAATTGAAAGAAATAGACACATAAAAAACCCTTCAAAAAATCAATGAATTCAGGAGCTGGTTTTTGAAACGATCAACAAAATTGATAGACTGCTAGCAAGACTAGTAAAGAAGAAAAGAGAGAAGAATCAAATAGACGCAATAAAAACTGATCATTTATGTGGCTCAAGTTCTCTAATATAACATAGTACGGTCAAAATGGAAGGGTAAAAATTGCAAGACCACCTTAACGTTTGTCATCTTAAGTGTACTATAAAAATGCCTTTTAAATTAATTCAGTGAATAGGTTTTTAAGTGCATGTTTTAGATTATGCTGAATTGTCAAATACCAGCACATCCCTAATTTGCAGTAGATTAACAGCACTTTTTAGCACACATCACAGAGTTGTTCGGTGGCCAAATTGAAAAGGCGCCTCCTCTCCATGTGGTCATTCAGAAACTCAAAGTTCTTTCATTATTTGTCTTCATCATCCATGAGTCGTGGTTGCCGTTTGTGTTCAGTCCCCTGAAAATAAAGTACTTTAAGAAATGCATGCGAGAAGACTTGATGGACTCATCTTAATGTGACTCACATCCATCTCACTCTACAACCATTAACAATAACTGGTCACGTTTCCACATCTAATGCAAATGAGGCTAAGAAATGTAATTCTGCTGTGTCCCTAATAAATGGGAGAATAGAATTTGTTGAATGACCAGAGTTTTCCGTAACATTGTGTCACTCATATGGATTTACTGTGTTTCTCAAATATTTATTAAACATCTGTCATAGCCAAGCACTGTGATAAGGAGTACAGGGAGGACAGAGAGCTGACTCAGCAGAGTCCTAGTCTGAAAGAAACTCACAATCTAAGAAAATAAGAAAAGACATGTTAGGTGCTGCTATAAAGGCACATGCACACGTATGTTTATTGTGGCACTACTCACAATGCAAATACTTGGAACCAACCGAAATGTCCAACAATGATAGACTGTATCAAGCAAATGTGGCCCATATACACCATGGAATACTATGCAGCCATAAAAAATGATGAGTTCATGTCCTTTGTGTGGACATGGATGAAGCTGGAAAAGATAATTCTCAGCAAACTATCACAAGGACAAAAAAAAACAAACACCACATGTTCTCGCTTATAGGTGGGAATTGAACAATGAGAACACTTGGACACAGGAAGGGTAACATTACCCACTGGGGAATGTTGTTGGGGGGGGAGGGGGGAGGGATAGCATTTGGAGATATACCTAATGTAAATGACGAGTTAATGGGTACAGCTCACCAACATGGCACATGTATACATAAGTAACAAACCTGCACGTTGTGCACATGTACCCTAGAACTTAAAGTATAATAAATATATGTATAACATACGTATATATTATATACATGTTCAAGGGATTCTCCTGCCTCAGCCTCCCAAGTAGCTGGGATTACAAGCGCTGCCATTACTCCCAGCTATTTTTTGTATTTTTAGTAGAGAAGGAGTTTTGCCATGTTGGCCAGGACGGTCTGGATCTCCTGACCTCATGATCCACACCCCTTGGCCTCCCAGAGTGCTGGGATTACAGGTGTGAGCCACAGCCCCCGGCCTATATGAGTTTTCAAATAGTTTTTTCTAGCTCCGTAAAAAATTTCATTGGCAGTTTGATGGAAATAGTATTAAATCTGTAAATTTCTTTGTGAAGTATAGCCATTTTAGTGATATTGGATCTTCCTATCCGTGAGCATGGGATGGTTTTCCATTTGTTTGTATCTTCTCTGATTTCTTTGAGCAGTGTTTTGTAAATCTCATTGTAGAGCTCTTTCACCTCCCTGGTGAGCTGCATTTCCAGATATTTTATTATTTTAGTGGCAATTGTGAATGGGATGGCCTTTCTGATTTTGCTGTCAGTGTGGCTATCGTTGGTGTAGAAAAATGTTAGTGATCTTTGCACATTGATTTAGTATCTTGAAACTTTGCTGAAGCTGTTTGTTAACTAAAGAAGCTTTGTAGATGAAACTACAGGGTTTTCTAGATAGAGAATTATGTTATCTGCAAACAGAAATAGTTTGGCTTTCTCTCTTCCTATTTGGATGTTCTTCGGATTTCTTTCTCTACCCTGATTGCTCTGGTCAGTACTGTCAATACTAAGTTGAATAGAAATGGCGAGAGAGGGCATTCTTGCCTTCTACTGGTTTTAAAAAATAATGTTCCCGGCTTTTGCCCATTCAACACATTGTTGGCTGTGGGTTTCTTATAGACGGCTTTTATTATTTTCTGCGTCTATTGAGATAATCATCTTTTTTTTGTTTTTAGTTCTGTTTATGTAATGTATTACATTTATTGATTTGCACATGATGGACCAACCTTGCGTCCTAAGGAGGAAGCCTACTTGATCATGACGGATTACCTGTTTGATGTGCTGCTGGATTTGCCTCCCAAATATTTTGTTGAGAACTTTTGTATTGATGTTCGTCAAGAATATTGGCCTGAAGTTTTCTTTCCCTTCTTTCTTTTTTTTTTTTTTTTTTTGACGGAGTCTCCCTCTGTTGCCCAGGCTGGAGTGGATTGCACTGGCGCGATCTCTGCTTAATGCAATCTCTGCCTCCTGAGTTCACGCCATTCTCCTGCTTCAGCCTCCCAAGTAGCTGGGACTACAGGTGTCTGCTACCAAGCCCGGCTAATTTTTTGTGTTTTTGTTGTGTCTCTGCCTGTTTTGGTGTCAAGATCATGCTGTCCTCATAGAATGAGTTGGGGAGAAGACCCTCCTTCTCAATTTTTGGGTATAGTTTCTGTAGGAATTGTACCAGCTCTTCTTTGTACATTTGGTAGAATTTGGCTGTAAGTCCATAAAGTCCAGGGCTTTTTTTTTTGATTGGCAAGCTACTTATTACCTATTTAATATCAGAGTTTTTTACTGGTCTGTTCAGGAAATCATTGTCTTCCTGGCTTAATCTTGAGAGAGTGTGTATATCTAGGAATCTATTTATTTCGTTAAAGTTTTCTAGTTTGTGTGTATAAAGTTGTTCATGTTAGTGCTGTCCCCAGTTAAATAAAAACAACTATTAGAAACCACTAAAGTTTAACACTTGTTTTTATATCTTTAATCAATTTTTATTTAATTTTTCTACTTGGAATGTGATAAAGATTCAACTTTACTGGTTTAAATGTGGACTTGTTTTCCCAGCATTTCTTGTGTAACAAACTGTCTTTACATAATGATTAAGGCACACTTTTAAAAAGACAAACAATAATTTATGAAAGGGTTTTTTGGAGTATCTATTTTATTTATTTGATCTCCACAATTGTTCTTATGCCACTATCAAACTGTTATAATTATAGTAGCTTTTTATGTTTTCAAATTTAAAATTGTGAGCCACCTAATTTTGTCCTTCTTTTCAAGATTATTCTGTACATTCAGAGGATGTTCAAATTCCACATGAAGTTTTAAATGAGCTATTTTCTTTTTGCAGAAGAAAAGTTGGAAAAATGAAAACTTGGGATTACAGTACATCTGTACACTCCTTTGGGCAGTGGTATTGTCATCTTAACTTCATTAAATCTTCCGGTTCAGGAACATGGAATTTGTTGCCAGTTATTTAAGTCCTTTTTAGTTTTTTTCATAAACATTCTGATCCTGTATTTTTTATTGTACAAGATATTTACCTCCTTATTAAATTTATTGCTAAGAATTATATTATTTTAATGTTGTTGCGAACAATTGTTTTCTTAATTTACTGTCAAATTGTTAATTGTATATGGAAATGCAGTTTATGTTTCTGTGTTGTAAAAATAATTATTTCATGTCTCAAATCTAGATTAGCAATTCATTCAGAATAAATATGCTGTATATATTACTAGTCATTTAACTTTTTCCAATAAGCTAACCAATTTCAATATGTCTAAATATGTAAAAATGTTAAATTGTGTTAGATTTTCACTTACTCTCACCTGTCATTTATCTGTCAGAATTACATTACTGCGCACTAGAACTTTCATTTCTGGGGCCAGGCACGGAGGCTCATGCCTATATTCCTAGCACTTTGTGAGGCCAAGGCAGGCGGACCACCTGAGATCAGGAGTTCGAGACCAGTCTAGCCAATATGGTAAAACCCCGCCTCTACTAAAAATACAAAAATAAGCTGAGCGTGGTCTTGGGAGACTGTATTCCCAGCTACTTTGGAGGCTGACACTGGAGAATCACTTGAACAATCCCACAACACAAAGCAACCGAGGTTAATCTTCATGTCGAAAGTCTTCAATGGATTGTCTTTTATCACAGGATTGCTTAGTGCAACATTTAATGGGAAAGATGCATGCTACTGAGATGTAGTTCTCCACAAGTCTCTTAGAGTTTGTTGTTTTGTTGTGGATTATATCACATACCTGTCCTGTTCCACGCTATTTTTCAAAGATTTTTGTACACAAATAACCTGGAAAAAGGGTAGTAGTTTTTCTCTTCAGGTGAATGGCAGATAAATTACTCAATCAATATAATAAAGACAATTTTTCTTTGTGACGCAAAGGTTGGACAGGCTTCCATGTAACCTACTTTAAAAAGATTCAGGTTTCTTAGTCTTGAGTCTGCTCAGCTATGACACAAATCTTCCCCATGTACAAAGTCCATATGAACCTTTTGAAATCCTTCAAAAAACGTAGTATGGACAAGGAGAACTAATACAAATATGAGGCTTTTGCCTCCAGGTAAGCAGTAAATAATAGGTATTTTTTTTCATACTTCAGTGTCTCATGCCTTCTACCAGCATCGATGAAAATGGAAGGTTAATATGTTGTTTACAAATGCTATAAAATCTTAGATACGTCACAATTATTTAATTTTGGAGATGACTATGGCATGCTGAGATAAACACAACTTTCTGAAAGGGGAAAAGGAACAAATACTTGAAGAGCTTGCAAGGGATATGAGAAGTTCCCCCAGGACCAACAGCAAATTCTCTCGGCCAAGTGGTTAGTTTGGTGAAGCAAGAGATCAAGACTCTGCTGTCTGCTAATGAGACTGATCCTTGAGAGGATTATAACAATGAACCTGAGAGCTTTGCATGTTCACTTTTCTCCTGCTGGAAAATCAAGGAGCTCTTAAAGCTAATGTTGAGGTTTGGATGAGTCCAAAACACTAGAAGTTCATGTGGTTCAGCTGTGAGCAGCAAAAAGACTGCAAAAAGCCACATTAAGCAGGTTTTGTAAGTCTCTCCTTTACCCACATGAAGGAACCCATTCCCTCTGCACTTCTAATTTTTGTCCTTTGTCTACAGCTAACTTCAGCAACTTTAAATATTAAACTACATACGATTGGAGGTTTGGATGGGGGAACACAAATGTATGTAGTTCCTTTGGATATATGTATCTAATTCACCATTCTGTGGAGTCCCTTAGGGTGCACAGGGAGATATAGGTGTTAGGGTGGCTGGAAATGCTGACAAACCTATCATTCTATTAATCCAGTTGCTTCCAGATAATGGAAAGCATGGTAAGTCCACTGACATCCGTGAAGATGAGCACACTGCTACACTTTGGCTGTGAAGTGAGTTTCTTGGTCTGAGCAATGCTAAGTGGAATATCATAGGGATGGATGAGGGATTCTGTGAGTCCATGGAGGGTAGTTTTGGCAGAATTCCACCCAGGGAAAGCAAATTTGTATCCATAGTAAGAGCCTACTCCAGTGAGTACAAACTGTTGCCGCCTATATTATAAAAGTTATTCAACGTAATAAATTTACTACCAGGTGCCTGGTGGATCACCCTGGAAATGATGTCATATCAAAGACTCAGTGTAGATCTGTGCTGCTGTCAAATTAAACGTTCAGAATTGACTGTAGCCAGACTGGCCTTTGGGATTCAAAGTTCATGTTGCTTAGCCCGTGCGTTGCTTCTATTTCTGCTACTATGTTCACCTTGTTTATAAGCCCATTGGGTGATGATGGGGGTGACAGGGAAGTAAGAATGACCCATACTCACGGAACAAGACATTCTGTCCACATCATTATCAAAATCCTGCTCTGATACGGTTACCCCTTAGTAGGGATTCATATAGAACAGACATATCTTTATGTAATTTACCCAGTGAGAGAGGTTTATCCACAAAAGTTTTTCTTTCTTTTTTTTTTTTTTTTGCCAGGAATTTTGTAATCATGTTCCTTCCGTGTCATTGGTCATGTAGCCAATTCATGGGCCACAGCAGTGTTGCAGGAGTGAGTATCATAGGATCTCAAACTCCTGTTCTTAAGCAATCCTTGCCTCAACCTCTTAAGTAGCTGAGACTATAGGTGCACCCCACAACGCCTAGCTAATTTTGTTTTATTTTTAGTAGAGATTAGATTTTGCTATGTTTTCCAGGCTGTTCTCACACTCCCCACCTCAAGCGATTCTCCCAGCTTTGCCTGCAAAGTGCTTTGACTAGAGTCAAACCTCCACACCCAGCACCTATAATTTGATATTTTAAACAATACTATGTAGCGAAAGCGATTACGAAGTTATCTAGGGAAAGAAAGCTCACTATCACAGTGTAAAATTGTATAGATATGATGCGGGCATGTGTGTATACATGCTTGCTTGTGTGCATAGGTGCGTGTTTTCTGAGAAATGGTACCTTATTGCTACCAGGCTAGGATAGCATTCATGTTCTTCTGAAGATGTCAAATATTGAAGCTCCAGGATTCATAGAACAAGATTCCTAAGTGGTTCACGAGAGGGTGAACGATTGAGTAATGGGTATTTTGGAAGAAACAACTGGCCTAGGGACAAGAATAAGTGTGCAAATCATCTGTGTGAAACACGCTTTCTTCGGAGCACGCATTTCATGCACTTCATTCTACTGTGACAGATATTGCTACTCTGAGTTTGGGAGAGATTGAACCTAGGGTCTACTGTGAAACTCTGTAGACTAGACTTCTGTCTGAGGCAGCCCCTGCCTGTAACCGTAACCTGCGCCAAACTCCAATGGAGTATTCTTCTCAATGGATAAATGGAAATTCCGGATGATCCGATGGGCAGAGAGTTCGACTGTTTTTTTCAGGAGCTCTGGTTGAATGGTTTTGGGGACTTTCTGGGAGGATGCTCTGCACCCAGAAAAGTAGTCCAACGGGAATCATGAGAAAATGGGCGACCCCGTGTGCCTCCGTCCCCTCCTACTTCCTCACCCACCCCTCCATCAGGGATCCCACGTATTCCAGGATGACACGTGTTTTAGTTGTCTTTGGGCGACAACTAGCGGCAACCGTTATTGAAAATGTAAGCTGTAGAGAACAAAAAAACTCTGGTCGCCTGTTCACAGCTCACTCACTGCAACGTTGAATCCTGGGCTTCAGCAATCCTCCTGCCTCAGCTTCCTGAGTAGCTGGAAATATAGGCATGTGCCACAATGCTGGGCAATATTTTTAAGTAGTGGTAATCTCTCTCGATGTGTTGCCCAGGTTAGTCTCAAACTCCTGTCCTCTATCCAGCCTCCCACCTTGGTCTTCAGAAGTCCTGGGATTACAGGCTTGAGCCACTGTGCTCACTCCTATAATTTGATGTTTTCAACAATACTATGTAGTGAAATGCATCACGAAGACATTTTGCAAAAGAAAGCTCACTATCACATATAAAGTTGTATACTTGTCATGTGCTCACGTGAGCGCATGTGCTTGCCTGTCTGAATGTTTCCTGAGAACTGATCATCTTTTCCCCAGGGACACTGGTTGAAGAGCTGCGGGGATTGTCTGGGAGGGTGTCTCGGGCCCGGAAACGTAATCCAGGAGAGATCAGAAGACCGGCGACCCCATGGGCCTCCATCTCTTTCTCCTTCCTTGACAACCCCTAAACCAGTGACCCCACTCATTCCAGGCTGGAACGTCGTTCGGTTGTCATTTGGCGTCACCTAGCGGTCACTGTTATTGAAAATGGAGGCATCACACCAAAACTTCTGGCCGCCCGCGCACAGCCAGGGAAAACTGGTTTCTCTCGGGCCCCACCCTGACCTCAGAGGCACTCCTTCCGTCCCTCCCCCAATGCCTTGTTGCCTAGGAAACCTCCACCCTGGCTGGGAATGCTTATTTCTTTATTTATTTAGAGACAGAGACAGTTTCGCTCTTGTAGCCCAGGTTGAAGTTCAATGGCGCCATCTCGGCTCACTGCAACCTCTGCCTCCTGGATTCAAGCGATTCTCCTGCCTCAGCCTCCCCACTAGCTGGTATTGCATGTGCCTGCCTCTACTCCCAGCAAATTTTTGTATTTTTAGTAGGGACGTCATTTCGCCATGTTGGCCAGTCTGTTCTCGAAGTCCTGACTTCAGATGATCCACCCACCTCAGCCTCTTAAAGTGCTGAGTTTACAGAAATAAGCCAGGGCGCCTAGGCTATCATTTGTTTTTCTTTCTTCCTTTTTTTTTTTTTTTTTTTTTTTTTTTAGTAAGCATGAACAGTTCTACCTGGGTTTTAAAAATTGTGTGTGTGAAAGAAAAATAAATCTTGAGGCTTCCAAATCACTAAAGTAAAGGGAAAAGTCAAGCTGGCAACTGTTTAGGGCCAACCTGCCATTCTATTCAAAGTCACTCCTCTGCTCTTTTCTCTTTTTTTTTTTTCTTTTTTGAGATGGAGTCTCGCTCAGATGCTCAAGCTGGAGCCCAATGGAGCAATCTCGGCTCACTGCAACATTCGCCTCCTGGTTTCAAGCGATAAATGTATATTTGATTGCCTCCTTTGGAGAGGCTAATTAGAAACTCCAAAGAATGCAACCATTTGTCTCTTAACTACCATTGACCAGGAAGTCCCCTCCTCACTTTCAGTCTTCCCGCGTTTGCTAATTTGTCCCGCCTTTGCAGACCGAACCAATGTTCATCTTGCATACTTTGATTGATGTCTCATGTCTCCCTAGAATGTATAAAACGATAATGTTCTCTGTTTACCTTAGGCACATGTCCTCAGAACCTCCTAAGGCTGTCACGGGTATGCGTCCTGAACCTTGGTTACGTAAACTTTCTAAATTAACTGAGACCTCTCTCAAGTTTTCAGGGTTCACAACGGAAAGTGCATTGTAGCTCCACCCTAGGGCTTACCATTAAGAAAAACTATCCTAAATCTCTGCAGCTACAGTCAAACCGGTTGTATGTAAACTGTATGAAACTAAATGCACTTATTACAAGTAAATGAATAAATGCTGAGAAAAAAAATCATGAACCGCTCACCTTTCAAAGAAGCAATAATACTATGAATTATGTGTAATTTCCAGAGTCAGCTAGTTTCAAAATTGTCCCCACTAAACTTGGAAAGGTTCCAGAGTGAGCTATTGTGCCTCCAGCCTTTGCTCCTCCCCCTGCTTTCCCCTGCGCCCTCCCCTCAACCTTTGCCGGCAATCACATTCTCTGATTCTGCAAAAGCAGATGGGAGCCCTAGAGAGAGTTCTCGTTTTTTTTTTTTTTTTTTTTCTTTTTTGAGATGGAGTCTCGCTTAGAGGCTCAGGATGGAGCCCAATGGAGCAATCTCGGCTCACTGCAACATCCGCTTCCTGGTTTCAGGCGATTCTCCTGCCTCAGCCTACCGAGGAGCTGGGTTAACAGGCACCCGTTATTATGCCCAGCTAATTTTTGTATTTTCATAGAGACAGGGTTTAACCATGTTGGCCACGCTGGACTCGAACTCCTGCCATCAGGTGATCCGTCAGCCTCAGCCTTTCAATGTGCCGGGATTACAGGCGTGAGCCACTGTGGCCAGCGAGTTCTCTTTTCTTTGTGAAGGGCAAGGCAAAGTGGAATGGATTCATCTAAAAGCGGAGTGCATGCCCTGGAAAGCATCATGGTTAGACCCATGTGAGACAGGTTAGTTTTACTGCGTGTGTTCTCCATGTGTTGTTGCCCATGTGTTGCTATCATGGTAATCCTGCTGAGTATGAGAGGAATCAAAGTTTCACACATTTGGTGTATGTGCTTGACTGAGGAACCAATGGGGTGAAGCTACCATCTGTGGGATTATGACTGAACGCCTCTAAATCAGAATCCCGCCCAGAAGAAAGGACGCAGCAGCGCTGGCAAGACTCGGTTGGCCTCAGATAGCCAGTCCCCAGCCTTTGCCACCGGCCGGACGCTCCGCCCCGCTGTGCGCCAAGACCTTGCTCCGGTCTTATCATCCTAAAAAACGGGGTGCGGCCCCCCATCCTAAAAAACGGGGTGCGGCCAGAAAGGCGTTTGCTCCCTGGCCCGTCACATAACATGCTCATGGGGAATCTGATACTAAACTATTGGTAAACGCCCTGCTTCTGGGTCAGGGTTTCCTATGGAGCAGAGCAACTCCCTCACTGCAACCTATTGAAAGTCAGCCCTCCACACAAGGGGCTCTCAACCAGTGTGCGGGAAAGCTAGCGTTGTGGCGTGTCCTGTATAATTCAGCCCTGGACCTCTACCTTCCTTCTTCCCTCCTTTTGCCCCCGGGGACTTAGTTCCCGGGCCTGCTCAGGCCCCCCGCCCCGGAGCCCCAGGGCATGCAGGGCTGTCTCTCGCGAGATAACATTGGCGTCGGCCGTGCATTTGGGAGGGGTCGTTCCCCAACAGCAGGCTTTCCAAGATGCAGCGCTGGGGGTTGCGAGGTAGGGTTGGCGCCCCTGCTCGATGTTCCACCTCTCTGATTGAGCTTCTTTCTCCCATCCCGCTGGGAATTCCTCCACGAGTTGGGACCGGATTCTTCGAGCCTCGTGCGAATGGCTGAGGCGCGGGTGTCAGAGGTTTTGCCCCTGCAGTCCCTGCCTGAGTAGTGTTCGCGCGATGCCCGTGGGTGGCTGTTGGGGTCACAGTCCCTCTCCCCGCCTCAGGGGTGCTGGGATGAAAGACTAGCTAGTCACTACCCTTGTGTCTTTACTCCTCTTCTCTGTCCGGGTCAACCAGCGGACTGCGGGGAAATGGCTGGCAGGTCTGCCAAGTTAGACGGCCTCAAACCTGGGCCGGTTCTGTGTGATAAGGTTCCAACTGCGTCTGATCGCTTCCCTCCGCGAGCACCACATTTGGTCTTTAGGGTGGACCCTGTCGATTAGATGCTGGCGTTTGGCTTCCCGATCAGCCCGCGAATCAGCCGACTGCGGGAAGCAAGCAACATCCAGTTGACACGGCCGCGGGCTTCTCTGTCTGGAAGACCTGGGACCAGGGCCTAAGGCCCCAGTCCTCAGGTCTCTGGTCGCCGTGCCCACCTGATGTCCGCGGCAAGCGTTGGACTTGACCGTCAACTTGGGATTTCTAAGGTAGACCAGATAACTTTGGTCAGCAGCAGTACCGCCCGCATTCACTAGGTGTCGCTTTTTCCTTGCGTTGTTTCTTCCTCTCCAACTGTTTCCACAGTACTTTCAGTTTCTCTTCGTTTTGTTTTTCTTTTATTTTTCTTGCTCCTCTTTCTACACACTGAAGTTGCTGTTGTTTTACATTTACCTTTTATTTATTTGTAGTTTTTGAGGCAGGTTGGAGTGTAAGAATGCAATCTCGGCTTACAGCCGCCTCGACTTTCCAGGACTCCCTCAGGTGATCTTCCTATCTCAGCCTTCCAAGTGGCTGAGACTACAGGAATCACTTAATTCTGTGATGTCGAAGCTGAAGTGAGCCGTGATGATGCCTTGCCCTCCAGTCTGAGTGTTTCAGAAGGTAAGAGAGACAGGTTAAAGAAAAAAATTCCTTGAAATAAACTGCAATTAATTGTGATCTAAATTACCTTTTATAGTTTTTCACTCCCACGAGTTTATTATTATTGCTGCTTATTATTTCTTTGTATTATTGTTTGTCATTATTGTTATTGTTTTTATTATTTATGTAATTATTTAGAGATGGAGTCTTCCTCTATCACCCAGAGTGCAGTGCAGTGGCGCGACTTTGGGTCACTGCAGCTTCAAATGCCTGGGTTCAAATTCGCAATATGGCGAAACACCCTGTTTACTAAAATCTGTCAATGACACCTTCAGGACCGTTGGTTGTGGCGGCTGCAATTTCGGAGGCTGAGGAGGGCAGTTCGCTAGAGCTCGGGAGTTCAAGACAGCCTCGGAAACAGACTGCAGAGCATTTGTCTGACCAAGACCCGCTGCAGCCTCCACCTCCCGACCCCAAGCGATGTTCTCAACTCAGGCTCCAAAGGATCTGGGACCACAGGCGCCTGCCATCACAATGCCCGGATTTTTTTCTTTTCTTTTCTTTTTCAGTAGAGACGGGGTCTCACTGTGTTGCCAGGGCTGGTCTCAAAGTCCTAGGCTCTAGCAATTCTTCCAACTCAGCCTCCCAAAGTGCTGGGATTATAGGTGTGAGCCACAATGCCCTGCCCTCTTTTTTATTTCCTTCATTTTTTCTCTTTTTTTCTTTCTCTTTCTTTCTGTCTTTTCTTTTTCTTCTCTCTTTTTCTTCCTCCCTTTTTTCTCTCATTTCTCATTCTTTTTTTTTCTGTTTCTATGTCTTTTGGTTTTCTTTTTCATCTTTCTTCCCTTTACATCTCTGTCTGTCTATTTTCTTTTTCTTGATCTTCCTTACTCTCTCTTTTCTTCATTTCTTTCTTTCCATCCCTCTGTCTGTCTGTCTTTGTGTGGATTTTGGAAAATTCTCCTTATTCTGTATCTCCCTGTGTATCACAAGCCTCTGTGACTTTCACTTTGTTGTTTTTCCTCCTTGTCGCGTAAAAGGCATTCACTGCTCTTTTATTTTGGTGCTCTGTGGATGTTCGAAGGGTGGGGAAAAAGTGGTCCACGAATCTGATTGGTTTCATGAGAGACACGAGAGACAAAAGAACATATGATGATTACTTCGCTAAATGCCCTGTTTATTCTTTCAACTGCACTCATACAAGTAAGGACGCAGTTGGTGGGTTGAGAGATCTCTGTGTAGTCATGACTCTGCAATTATACTTGACGAGAGCGGTGATGATGAACGGGCGGCATGGAAACCTGCCCTTCTTTGGTGTCAGTTGAGCACAGTGAGAAGAGATTCACAATGGCCTGTATCTCAACCTGATGGTGCTGTGTTTCTGCTCTGATCTTTAGGAATGAGAGAAGCATTCCCGTGCATTCCTGCAACGTCCTTGAAGTTTTCTTTTTAAACTTTTCGATTAACTAACGTATTTATTAATTTATTTGAGATGGAGTCTTGTTCTGTTGGTCAGGCCATGGCGCAGTATCGGGCCACTGCAACCTCCGCCTCCCAGGTTCCAGCGATTCTCTTGCCTTAGCCTCTCGAGTAGCTGGGATAACAGGCACGTGCCACCATACCCAGCTAACTTTTACCTTTTTAGTAAAGACAGGGTTTTCCCATGTTGCCCAGGCTGGTCTTGAACTCCAACTTCCAGGAATCCTGTGGCCTCGTCCTCCCAAAGTGCTGGGAGATCCCAGGTCATCAGACTCGAGAAAGAATGTTGGTTGATATAGAAAGGCGAGACACACTGCGCCCGACCCAAATTGCTATTTTTAAAAATAAACCAGTAGGCTGGGTGCAGTGGGTCACTCCTCTCATCTCAGCAGTTTGCTAGGCGGATGTGGGAGGATTACGAGGTCAGGAGTTTGAGACCAGCCTGGCCAACATAGTCAAACTCTGTCTGTATGAAGAATACAAAAATTAACCAGGTGTGGTGTCACGCACCTCTACTCCCAGCTACTCTATATGCTGAGGTAGTAGAATCTGTTGAAGCCGGGAGATGGAGATTGCAGTCAGCCCAGATCATGCCACTGGACTCCAGCTTGGGTGACAGAGTCAGATTCCATCTAAAAAAAAAAAAAGTAATTAAAAATAAGTGAGTTTCCAAGAAGAAATAGAAACCCGCAGTGACACAAACATATGCATCTCACCTTTCGAGGCAGCAATGACACTACAAACTTGTAAACTCAGTTCATTTCTTGACTGCGGACCATGGGTATTTGTGATGCTTCCTCTTGGAACATAGTTCTGTGCGACACCATACCCAGCTAACGTTTGCCTTTTTAGTAGTCAGAATTTTGCTATATTGCCCAGACTGCTCTTGAACTCATGAACTCCAGGTATCCCCCCGCCCAAAAAAAAGAGTTGTGATGAAAGGAGACACACAGATGGATTTCAGCCCTTAAAATGGTGCATGCTGCCACATTTCACAGATCTTCCCTGGGCCTTACTGGTATTTGCCCAACATAGAAATGCTTTCTAAAAAGTGACAATTTGCTTACATAATATTTCCACAAGCGATGCCTTGGTCTGTGTTTGTTTTTACGTTTTGTTTTGTTTGTAGTTTTTACTTTACTTATCTCTTTTCAGTTGAAGTAGATTTTACCAATTTTAGGAAGATGTGTATTTTCCCCAAAACCTGTTAGCTGGTGTTTTCTTCGGTCATTAAGTAGCGATTTTCGGAATCTCTCAAGGTACAGTGAGAGCCGATTGATATAAACTATACTTCATAAAATCTTCTTTCCTTTTCATTTTTTTTTTTTTTTTTTTGTCTTTCAGGTGGAGTTTCGCTCTTATTGCCCAGGCTGGAGTTCAGTGGCGCGACCTCAGCTCACCGCAACCTCTGCCGCCTGTGTTCAAGAGATTTTCCAGTCTTCACCCTTTCGAGTAGCTGAAACCACAGGCAAACACCTCCAGGCCTGGCTAATTTTTTTTTTTTTCATAGAGACAAGGTAGCTCCATAATGGTCAGGCTGGTCTAGAACACCCAACCTGAGGCGTACCACCCAACTTGACCACCCAAAGTGCTGAGATTAAAGGCGTGAGCTCCGCGTCTGGCCATAACATCTTATCCTATAGAAGCCCAGAGAGGTTAGGTATGTAGTCCCTGAGACCAGCCTTCCTTGGATGAACTCCAAAGTGATGGCTGAGGATTAGGGAGTGTGGGGGGGGGGGGCTGGAAAGTCGGTCCCCTATTGTTGCTACCTAGGCCATGACATCCCCAGACTCCCATCGCCTGCTCACCGTTTGAGATTCCCCCCCACCACCGCCTTGGTGGCTGAACTCTTACTTTAATTTCTGTCTTTCTTCGTTTGTTGGGTTTCAGGAGGGGGTGCAGGAAAGACGGTGTGCGTGGGGAGGGGGTGTAGGGTGGGGATGGAGGGGAGCGTCCTAAGGGTCGATGTAGTGTCATGCCTCTTTCATCACCACCACCGAAGATGAAACAATAATCATCTAAATACCGCGTGTTCTCACACATAAGTGGGAACTGCATAATGAGAATGCATGCGAAGAACTAGGGGGACGAGAGACGCAGGAGCCTACCTGAGGGAGGACGTGTGGAAGGACAGACAGCTTCAGGACAAAGCAAAACGAGCAGAACACAAAAACTGTAGGGGACTGCGCTGAGAATCCGGGTGAGGAAATCATCGGCACACTGAACCCCCTACTCAGAAGTTTACCTATGAAACAATCTTGCACATGTATGCTTCAAAAACAAATAACAGTTAGGGAAGAAAGAGAGAGAGAGAGAAAGAGAGAGAGACAAGTAAAATAAAGCACCACCTCCTTGACCTGACTCAGGGTGTTTGGGGTCTTCTGGGGAAATGTTCTGAAACAATGGAGTATTTTGGTCTGTTCTTTCTTGTGTCTTTTTTTTTTTTTTTAAGACGGACTCTCGCTCAGCCACCCAGGCTGGAATGCAGTGGTGCACTGGGTTCACTGCAGCAAATATCTCCCGGGTTGAAGCGATTCTCCAGTCTCATCCTCCTGAGTGGCCGGGATTACAGTCACGCGCCATAATGCCCTGCTAATTTTTGAACATTAGTAGAGAAGGGGTATTGCCATGCTTGCGACGCTGGACTTGAAGGCAAAATGAAAATGAAAATGAAACGCAACAAAATAATTAAAAAGTGAGTTTCTGGGGAAAAAGAAGAAAAGAAAAAAGAAAAAAACAACAAAACAGAACAACCCCACCGTGACATACACGTACGCCTCTCGCCTTTCGAGGCCTCAAACACGTTAGGAATTATGCGTGATTTCTTTTTTTAACTTCATTTTATGTTATTATCATGATTGATGTTTCGAGACGGAGTCTCGGAGGCCCGCCCTCCCTGGTTGCCCAGACAACCCCGGGAGACAGACCCTGGCTGGGCCCGATTGTTCTTCTCCTTGGTCAGGGGTTTCCTTGTCTTTCTTCGTGTCTTTAACCCGCGTGGACTCTTCCGCTCGGGTTTGACAGATGGCAGCTCCACTTTAGGCCTTGTTGTTGTTGGGGACTTTCCTGATTCTCCCCAGATGTAGTGAAAGCAGGTAGATTTGCCTTGCCTGGACTTGCCTGGCCTTGCCTTTTCTTTCTTTCTTTCTTTATTACTTTCTCTTTTTCTTCTTCTTCTTCTTCTTCTTCTTCTTCTTCTTCTTCTTCTTCTTCTTCTTCTTCTTCTTCTTTTTTTTTTGAGACAGAGTTTCACTCTTGTTGCCCAGGCTAGAGGGCAATGGCGCGATCTCGGCTCACCGCACCCTCCGCCTCCCAGGTTCAAGCGATTCTCCTGCCTCAGCCTCCTGATTAGCTGGGATTACAGGCATGGGCCACCGTGCCTGGCTGATGTTTGTACTTTTAGTAGAGACGGTGTTTTTCCATGTTGGTCAGGCTGGTCTCCCACTCCCAACCTCAGGTGGTCCGCCTGCCTTAGCCTCCCAAAGTGCTGGGATGACAGGCGTGAGCCACCGCGCCCAGCCTCTCTCTCTCTCTCTCTCTCTCTCTCTCTCTCTCTCTCTCTCGCTCGCTTGCTTGCTTTCGTGCTTTCTTGCTTTCCCGTTTTCTTGCTTTCTTTCTTTCTTTCGTTTCTTTCATGCTTGCTTTCTTGCTTGCTTGCTTGCTTTCGTGCTTTCTTGCTTTCCTGTTTTCTTTTTCTTTCTTTCTTTCTTTCTTTCTTTTGTTTCTTTCTTGCTTGCTTTCTTGCTTGCTTGCTTGCTTTCGTGCTTTCTTGCTTTCCTGTTTTCTTTCTTTCTTTCTTTCTTGCTTGCTTTCTTGCTTGCTTGCTTTCGTGCTTTCTTGTTTTCTCGCTTTCTTTCTTTCTTTTGTTTCTTTCCTGCTTGCTTTCTTGCTTGATTGCTTTCGTGCTTTCTTGCTTTCTTGTTTTCTTTCTTTCTTTTGTTTCTTTCTTTCTTGCTTCCTTGTTTTCTTGCTTTCTTGCTTGCTTGCTTTCGTGCTTTCTTGTTTTCTTGCTTTCTTTCTTTTGTTTCTTTCTTGCTTGCTTTCTTGCTTCCTTGTTTTCTTGCTTTCTTGCTTGCTTGCTTTCGTGCTTTCTTTCTTGCTTTCTTTTCTTTCTTTCTTTTCTTTTTCTTTCTTTCTTGCTTTCTTTTCTTTCATTCATTCATTCTTTCTTTCTTTCCTTTCTTTCTTTCTTTCTTTCTATCTTTCTTTCTTTCTTTCTTTCTTTCTTTCTTTCTTTCTTTCTGTTTCGTCCTTTTGAGACAGAGTTTCACTCTTGTTTCCACGGCTAGAGTGCAATGGCGCGATCTTGGCTCACCGCACCTTCCGCCTCCCGGGTTCGAGCGCTTCTCCTGCCTCAGCCTCCCGATTAGCGGGGATTACAGGGAGGCACCCCCACGCCTGGCTTGGCTGATGTTTGTGTTTTTAGTAGGCACGCCGTGTCTCTCCATGTTGCTCAGGCTGGTCTCCAACTCCCGACCTCCTGTGATGCGCCCACCTCGGCCTCTCGAAGTGCTGGGATGACGGGCGTGAGCCACCGTGCCCGGCCTGTTGACTCATTTCGCTTTTTTATTTCTTTCGTTTCCACGCGTTTACTTATATGTATTAATGTAAACGTTTCTGTACGCTTATATGCAAACAACGACAACGTGTATCTCTGCATTGAATACTCTTGCGTATGGTAAATACGTATCGGTTGTATGGAAATAGACTTCTGTATGATAGATGTAGGTGTTTGTGTTATACAAATAAATACACATCGCTCTATAAAGAAGGGATCGTCGATAAAGACGTTTATTTTACGTATGAAAAGCGTCGTATTTATGTGTGTAAATGAACGAGCGTACGTAGTTATCTCTGTTTTCTTTCTTCCTCTCCTTCGTGTTTTTCTTCCTTCCTTTCTTCCTTTCTCTCCTTCTTTAGGTTTTTCTTCCTCTCTTCCTTTCCTTCTTTCTCTCTTTCTGTCCTTTTTTCCTTCGTGCTTTATTTCTCTTTCGTTCCCTGTGTTTCCTTCTTTTTTCTTTCCTCTCTGTTTCTTTTTCCCTTCTTTCCTTCGTTTCTTTCCTCATTCTTTCTCTCTTTTTCGTGTTTCTTTCCTTCCCGTCTGTCTTTTAAAAAATGGAGTGTTTCAGAAGTTTACTTTGTGTATCTACGTTTTCTAAATTGTCTCTCTTTTCTCCATTTTCTTCCTCCCTCCCTCCCTCCCTCCCTCCCTGCTCCCTTCCCTCCCTCCTTCCCTTTCGCCATCTGTCTCTTTTCCCCACTCCCCTCCCCCCGTCTGTCTCTGCGTGGATTCCGGAAGAGCCTACGCATTCTGCCTCTCCGTGTGTCTGCAGCGACCCGCGACCGAGTCCTTGTGTGTTCTTTCTCCCTCCCTCCCTCCCTCCCTCCCTCCCTCCCTCCCTGCTTCCGAGAGGCATCTCCAAACACCCACGCGCCGTGGGTTGTCTTCTGACTCTGTCGCGGTCGAGGCAGAGACGCGTTTTGGGCACCGTTTGTGTGGGGTTGGGGCAGAGGGGCTGCGTTTTCGGCCTCGGGAAGAGCTTCTCGACTCACGGTTTCGCTTTCGCGGTCCACGGGCCGCCCTGCCAGCCGGATCTGTCTCGCTGACGTCCGCGGCGGTTGTCGGGCTCCATCTGGCGGCCGCTTTGAGATCGTGCTCTCGGCTTCCGGAGCTGCGGTGGCAGCTGCCGAGGGAGGGGACCGTCCCCGCTGTGAGCTAGGCAGAGCTCCGGAAAGCCCGCGGTCGTCAGCCCGGCTGGCCCGGTGGCGCCAGAGCTGTGGCGCGTCGCTTGTGAGTCACAGCTCTGGCGTGCAGGTTTATGTGGGGGAGAGGCTGTCGCTGCGCTTCTGGGCCCGCGGCGGGCGTGGGGCTGCCCGGGCCGGTCGACCAGCGCGCCGTAGCTCCCGAGGCCCGAGCCGCGACCCGCGGGGACCCGCCGCGCGTGGCGCGGGAGGCTGGGGACGCCCTTCCCGGCCCGGTCGCGGGTCCGCGCTCATCCTGGCCGTCTGAGGCGGCGGCCGAATTCGTTTCCGAGTCCCCGTGGGGAGCCGGGGACCGTCCCGCCCCCGTCCCCCGGGTGCCGGGGAGCGGTCCCCGGGCCGGGCCGCGGTCCCTCTGCCGCGATCCTTTCTGGCGAGTCCCCGTGCGGAGTCGGAGAGCGCTCCCTGAGCGCGCGTGCGGCCCGAGAGGTCGCGCCTGGCCGGCCTTCGGTCCCTCGTGTGTCCCGGTCGTAGGAGGGGCCGGCCGAAAATGCTTCCGGCTCCCGCTCTGGAGACACGGGCCGGCCCCCTGCGTGTGGCACGGGCGGCCGGGAGGGCGTCCCCGGCCCGGCGCTGCTCCCGCGTGTGTCCTGGGGTTGACCAGAGGGCCCCGGGCGCTCCGTGTGTGGCTGCGATGGTGGCGTTTTTGGGGACAGGTGTCCGTGTCGCGCGTCGCCTGGGCCGGCGGCGTGGTCGGTGACGCGACCTCCCGGCCCCGGGGGAGGTATATCTTTCGCTCCGAGTCGGCATTTTGGGCCGCCGGGTTATTGCTGACACGCTGTCCTCTGGCGACCTGTCGCTGGAGAGGTTGGGCCTCCGGATGCGCGCGGGGCTCTGGCCTACCGGTGACCCGGCTAGCCGGCCGCGCTCCTGCTTGAGCCGCCTGCCGGGGCCCGCGGGCCTGCTGTTCTCTCGCGCGTCCGAGCGTCCCGACTCCCGGTGCCGGCCCGGGTCCGGGTCTCTGACCCACCCGGGGGCGGCGGGGAAGGCGGCGAGGGCCACCGTGCCCCCGTGCGCTCTCCGCTGCGGGCGCCCGGGGCGGCCGCGACAACCCCACCCCGCTGGCTCCGTGCCGTGCGTGTCAGGCGTTCTCGTCTCCGCGGGGTTGTCCGCCGCCCCTTCCCCGGAGTGGGGGGTTGGCCGGAGCCGATCGGCTCGCTGGCCGGCCGGCCGGCCTCCGCTCCCGGGGGGCTCTTCGTGATCGATGTGGTGACGTCGTGCTCTCCCGGGCCGGGTCCGAGCCGCGACGGGCGAGGGGCGGACGTTCGTGGCGAACGGGACCGTCCTTCTCGCTCCGCCCCGCGGGGGTCCCCTCGTCTCTCCTCTCCCCGCCCGCCGGCGGTGCGTGTGGGAAGGCGTGGGGTGCGGACCCCGGCCCGACCTCGCCGTCCCGCCCGCCGCCTTCTGCGTCGCGGGGCGGGCCGGCGGGGTCCTCTGACGCGGCAGACAGCCCTCGCTGTCGCCTCCAGTGGTTGTCGACTTGCGGGCGGCCCCCCTCCGCGGCGGTGGGGGTGCCGTCCCGCCGGCCCGTCGTGCTGCCCTCTCGGGGGGTTTGCGCGAGCGTCGGCTCCGCCTGGGCCCTTGCGGTGCTCCTGGAGCGCTCCGGGTTGTCCCTCAGGTGCCCGAGGCCGAACGGTGGTGTGTCGTTCCCGCCCCCGGCGCCCCCTCCTCCGGTCGCCGCCGCGGTGTCCGCGCGTGGGTCCTGAGGGAGCTCGTCGGTGTGGGGTTCGAGGCGGTTTGAGTGAGACGAGACGAGACGCGCCCCTCCCACGCGGGGAAGGGCGCCCGCCTGCTCTCGGTGAGCGCACGTCCCGTGCTCCCCTCTGGCGGGTGCGCGCGGGCCGTGTGAGCGATCGCGGTGGGTTCGGGCCGGTGTGACGCGTGCGCCGGCCGGCCGCCGAGGGGCTGCCGTTCTGCCTCCGACCGGTCGTGTGTGGGTTGACTTCGGAGGCGCTCTGCCTCGGAAGGAAGGAGGTGGGTGGACGGGGGGGCCTGGTGGGGTTGCGCGCACGCGCGCACCGGCCGGGCCCCCGCCCTGAACGCGAACGCTCGAGGTGGCCGCGCGCAGGTGTTTCCTCGTACCGCAGGGCCCCCTCCCTTCCCCAGGCGTCCCTCGGCGCCTCTGCGGGCCCGAGGAGGAGCGGCTGGCGGGTGGGGGGAGTGTGACCCACCCTCGGTGAGAAAAGCCTTCTCTAGCGATCTGAGAGGCGTGCCTTGGGGGTACCGGATCCCCCGGGCCGCCGCCTCTGTCTCTGCCTCCGTTATGGTAGCGCTGCCGTAGCGACCCGCTCGCAGAGGACCCTCCTCCGCTTCCCCCTCGACGGGGTTGGGGGGGAGAAGCGAGGGTTCCGCCGGCCACCGCGGTGGTGGCCGAGTGCGGCTCGTCGCCTACTGTGGCCCGCGCCTCCCCCTTCCGAGTCGGGGGAGGATCCCGCCGGGCCGGGCCCGGCGTTCCCAGCGGGTTGGGACGCGGCGGCCGGCGGGCGGTGGGTGTGCGCGCCCGGCGCTCTGTCCGGCGCGTGACCCCCTCCGCCGCGAGTCGGCTCTCCGCCCGCTCCCGTGCCGAGTCGTGACCGGTGCCGACGACCGCGTTTGCGTGGCACGGGGTCGGGCCCGCCTGGCCCTGGGAAAGCGTCCCACGGTGGGGGCGCGCCGGTCTCCCGGAGCGGGACCGGGTCGGAGGATGGACGAGAATCACGAGCGACGGTGGTGCGGGCGTGTCGGGTTCGTGGCTGCGGTCGCTCCGGGGCCCCCGGTGGCGGGGCCCCGGGGCTCGCGAGGCGGTTCTCGGTGGGGGCCGAGGGCCGTCCGGCGTCCCAGGCGGGGCGCCGCGGGACCGCCCTCGTGTCTGTGGCGGTGGGATCCCGCGGCCGTGTTTTCCTGGTGGCCCGGCCGTGCCTGAGGTTTCTCCCCGAGCCGCCGCCTCTGCGGGCTCCCGGGTGCCCTTGCCCTCGCGGTCCCCGGCCCTCGCCCGTCTGTGCCCTCTTCCCCGCCCGCCGCCCGCCGATCCTCTTCTTCCCCCCGAGCGGCTCACCGGCTTCACGTCCGTTGGTGGCCCCGCCTGGGACCGAACCCGGCACCGCCTCGTGGGGCGCCGCCGCCGGCCACTGATCGGCCCGGCGTCCGCGTCCCCCGGCGCGCGCCTTGGGGACCGGGTCGGTGGCGCCCCGCGTGGGGCCCGGTGGGCTTCCCGGAGGGTTCCGGGGGTCGGCCTGCGGCGCGTGCGGGGGAGGAGACGGTTCCGGGGGACCGGCCGCGACTGCGGCGGCGGTGGTGGGGGCAGCCGCGGGGATCGCCGAGGGCCGGTCGGCCGCCCCGGGTGCCGCGCGGTGCCGCCGGCGGCGGTGAGGCCCCGCGCGTGTGTCCCGGCCGCGGTCGGCCGCGCTCGAGGGGTCCCCGTGGCGTCCCCTTCCCCGCCGGCCGCCTTTCTCGCGCCTTCCCCGTCGCCCCGGCCTCGCCCGTGGTCTCTCGTCTTCTCCCGGCCCGCTCTTCCGAACCGGGTCGGCGCGTCCCCCGGGTGCGCCTCGCTTCCCGGGCCTGCCGCGGCCCTTCCCCGAGGCGTCCGTCCCGGGCGTCGGCGTCGGGGAGAGCCCGTCCTCCCCGCGTGGCGTCGCCCCGTTCGGCGCGCGCGTGCGCCCGAGCGCGGCCCGGTGGTCCCTGCCGGACAGGCGTTCGTGCGACGTGTGGCGTGGGTCGACCTCCGCCTTGCCGGTCGCTCGCCCTTTCCCCGGGTCGGGGGGTGGGGCCCGGGCCGGGGCCTCGGCCCCGGTCGCGGTCCCCCGTCCCGGGCGGGGGCGGGCGCGCCGGCCGGCCTCGGTCGGCCCTCCCTTGGCCGTCGTGTGGCGTGTGCCACCCCTGCGCCCGCGCCCGCCGGCGGGGCTCGGAGCCGGGCTTCGGCCGGGCCCCGGGCCCTCGACCGGACCGGTGCGCGGGCGCTGCGGCCGCACGGCGCGACTGTCCCCGGGCCGGGCACCGCGGTCCGCCTCTCGCTCGCCGCCCGGACGTCGGGGCCGCCCCGCGGGGCGGGCGGAGCGCCGTCCCCGCCTCGCCGCCGCCCGCGGGCGCCGGCCGCGCGCGCGCGCGCGTGGCCGCCGGTCCCTCCCGGCCGCCGGGCGCGGGTCGGGCCGTCCGCCTCCTCGCGGGCGGGCGCGACGAAGAAGCGTCGCGGGTCTGTGGCGCGGGGCCCCGGTGGTCGTGTCGCGTGGGGGGCGGGTGGTTGGGGCGTCCGGTTCGCCGCGCCCCGCCCCGGCCCCACCGGTCCCGGCCGCCGCCCCCGCGCCCGCTCGCTCCCTCCCGTCCGCCCGTCCGCGGCCCGTCCGTCCGTCCGTCGTCCTCCTCGCTTGCGGGGCGCCGGGCCCGTCCTCGCGAGGCCCCCCGGCCGGCCGTCCGGCCGCGTCGGGGCCTCGCCGCGCTCTACCTTACCTACCTGGTTGATCCTGCCAGTAGCATATGCTTGTCTCAAAGATTAAGCCATGCATGTCTGAGTACGCACGGCCGGTACAGTGAAACTGCGAATGGCTCATTAAATCAGTTATGGTTCCTTTGGTCGCTCGCTCCTCTCCTACTTGGATAACTGTGGTAATTCTAGAGCTAATACATGCCGACGGGCGCTGACCCCCTTCGCGGGGGGGATGCGTGCATTTATCAGATCAAAACCAACCCGGTCAGCCCCTCTCCGGCCCCGGCCGGGGGGCGGGCGCCGGCGGCTTTGGTGACTCTAGATAACCTCGGGCCGATCGCACGCCCCCCGTGGCGGCGACGACCCATTCGAACGTCTGCCCTATCAACTTTCGATGGTAGTCGCCGTGCCTACCATGGTGACCACGGGTGACGGGGAATCAGGGTTCGATTCCGGAGAGGGAGCCTGAGAAACGGCTACCACATCCAAGGAAGGCAGCAGGCGCGCAAATTACCCACTCCCGACCCGGGGAGGTAGTGACGAAAAATAACAATACAGGACTCTTTCGAGGCCCTGTAATTGGAATGAGTCCACTTTAAATCCTTTAACGAGGATCCATTGGAGGGCAAGTCTGGTGCCAGCAGCCGCGGTAATTCCAGCTCCAATAGCGTATATTAAAGTTGCTGCAGTTAAAAAGCTCGTAGTTGGATCTTGGGAGCGGGCGGGCGGTCCGCCGCGAGGCGAGCCACCGCCCGTCCCCGCCCCTTGCCTCTCGGCGCCCCCTCGATGCTCTTAGCTGAGTGTCCCGCGGGGCCCGAAGCGTTTACTTTGAAAAAATTAGAGTGTTCAAAGCAGGCCCGAGCCGCCTGGATACCGCAGCTAGGAATAATGGAATAGGACCGCGGTTCTATTTTGTTGGTTTTCGGAACTGAGGCCATGATTAAGAGGGACGGCCGGGGGCATTCGTATTGCGCCGCTAGAGGTGAAATTCTTGGACCGGCGCAAGACGGACCAGAGCGAAAGCATTTGCCAAGAATGTTTTCATTAATCAAGAACGAAAGTCGGAGGTTCGAAGACGATCAGATACCGTCGTAGTTCCGACCATAAACGATGCCGACCGGCGATGCGGCGGCGTTATTCCCATGACCCGCCGGGCAGCTTCCGGGAAACCAAAGTCTTTGGGTTCCGGGGGGAGTATGGTTGCAAAGCTGAAACTTAAAGGAATTGACGGAAGGGCACCACCAGGAGTGGAGCCTGCGGCTTAATTTGACTCAACACGGGAAACCTCACCCGGCCCGGACACGGACAGGATTGACAGATTGATAGCTCTTTCTCGATTCCGTGGGTGGTGGTGCATGGCCGTTCTTAGTTGGTGGAGCGATTTGTCTGGTTAATTCCGATAACGAACGAGACTCTGGCATGCTAACTAGTTACGCGACCCCCGAGCGGTCGGCGTCCCCCAACTTCTTAGAGGGACAAGTGGCGTTCAGCCACCCGAGATTGAGCAATAACAGGTCTGTGATGCCCTTAGATGTCCGGGGCTGCACGCGCGCTACACTGACTGGCTCAGCGTGTGCCTACCCTACGCCGGCAGGCGCGGGTAACCCGTTGAACCCCATTCGTGATGGGGATCGGGGATTGCAATTATTCCCCATGAACGAGGAATTCCCAGTAAGTGCGGGTCATAAGCTTGCGTTGATTAAGTCCCTGCCCTTTGTACACACCGCCCGTCGCTACTACCGATTGGATGGTTTAGTGAGGCCCTCGGATCGGCCCCGCCGGGGTCGGCCCACGGCCCTGGCGGAGCGCTGAGAAGACGGTCGAACTTGACTATCTAGAGGAAGTAAAAGTCGTAACAAGGTTTCCGTAGGTGAACCTGCGGAAGGATCATTAACGGAGCCCGGAGGGCGAGGCCCGCGGCGGCGCCGCCGCCGCCGCGCGCTTCCCTCCGCACACCCACCCCCCCACCGCGACGCGGCGCGTGCGCGGGCGGGGCCCGCGTGCCCGTTCGTTCGCTCGCTCGTTCGTTCGCCGCCCGGCCCCGCCGGCCGCGAGAGCCGGAGAACTCGGGAGGGAGACGGGGGAGAGAGAGAGAGAGAGAGAAAGAGAAAGAAGGGCGTGTCGTTGGTGTGCGCGTGTCGTGGGGCCGGCGGGCGGCGGGGAGCGGTCCCCGGCCGCGGCCCCGACGACGTGGGTGTCGGCGGGCGCGGGGGCGGTTCTCGGCGGCGTCGCGGCGGGTCTGGGGGGGTCTCGGTGCCCTCCTCCCCGCCGGGGCCCGTCGTCCGGCCCCGCCGCGCCGGCTCCCCGTCTTCGGGGCCGGCCGGATTCCCGTCGCCTCCGCCGCGCCGCTCCGCGCCGCCGGGCACGGCCCCGCTCGCTCTCCCCGGCCTTCCCGCTAGGGCGTCTCGAGGGTCGGGGGCCGGACGCCGGTCCCCTCCCCCGCCTCCTCGTCCGCCCCCCCGCCGTCCAGGTACCTAGCGCGTTCCGGCGCGGAGGTTTAAAGACCCCTTGGGGGGATCGCCCGTCCGCCCGTGGGTCGGGGGCGGTGGTGGGCCCGCGGGGGAGTCCCGTCGGGAGGGGCCCGGCCCCTCCCGCGCCTCCACCGCGGACTCCGCTCCCCGGCCGGGGCCGCGCCGCCGCCGCCGCCGCGGCGGCCGTCGGGTGGGGGCTTTACCCGGCGGCCGTCGCGCGCCTGCCGCGCGTGTGGCGTGCGCCCCGCGCCGTGGGGGCGGGAACCCCCGGGCGCCTGTGGGGTGGTGTCCGCGCTCGCCCCCGCGTGGGCGGCGCGCGCCTCCCCGTGGTGTGAAACCTTCCGACCCCTCTCCGGAGTCCGGTCCCGTTTGCTGTCTCGTCTGGCCGGCCTGAGGCAACCCCCTCTCCTCTTGGGCGGGGGGGGGGGGGACGTGCCGCGCCAGGAAGGGCCTCCTCCCGGTGCGTCGTCGGGAGCGCCCTCGCCAAATCGACCTCGTACGACTCTTAGCGGTGGATCACTCGGCTCGTGCGTCGATGAAGAACGCAGCTAGCTGCGAGAATTAATGTGAATTGCAGGACACATTGATCATCGACACTTCGAACGCACTTGCGGCCCCGGGTTCCTCCCGGGGCTACGCCTGTCTGAGCGTCGCTTGCCGATCAATCGCCCCCGGGGGTGCCTCCGGGCTCCTCGGGGTGCGCGGCTGGGGGTTCCCTCGCAGGGCCCGCCGGGGGCCCTCCGTCCCCCTAAGCGCAGACCCGGCGGCGTCCGCCCTCCTCTTGCCGCCGCGCCCGCCCCTTCCCCCTCCCCCCGCGGGCCCTGCGTGGTCACGCGTCGGGTGGCGGGGGGGAGAGGGGGGCGCGCCCGGCTGAGAGAGACGGGGAGGGCGGCGCCGCCGCCGCCCGCGAAGACGGAGAGGGAAAGAGAGAGCCGGCTCGGGCCGAGTTCCCGTGGCCGCCGCCTGCGGTCCGGGTTCCTCCCTCGGGGGGCTCCCTCGCGCCGCGCGCGGCTCGGGGTTCGGGGTTCGTCGGCCCCGGCCGGGTGGAAGGTCCCGTGCCCGTCGTCGTCGTCGTCGTCGCGCGTCGTCGGCGGTGGGGGCGTGTTGCGTGCGGTGTGGTGGTGGGGGAGGAGGAAGGCGGGTCCGGAAGGGGAAGGGTGCCGGCGGGGAGAGAGGGTCGGGGGAGCGCGTCCCGGTCGCCGCGGTTCGCCGCCCGCCCCCGGTGGCGGCCCGGCGTCCGGCCGACCGCCGCTCCCGCGCCCCTCCTCCTCCCCGCCGCCCCTCCTCCGAGGCCCCGCCCGTCCTCCTCGCCCTCCCCGCGCGTACGCGCGCCCGCCCGCCCGGCTCGCCTCGCGGCGCGTCGGCCGGGGCCGGGAGCCCGCCCCGCGGCCCGCCCGGCCGCGCCCGTGGCCGCGGCGCCGGGGTTCGCGTGTCCCCGGCGGCGACCCGCGGGACGCCGCGGTGTCGTCCGCCGTCGCGCGCCCGCCTCCGGCTCGCGGCCGCGCCGCGCCGCGCCGGGGCCCCGTCCCGAGCTTCCGCGTCGGGGCGGGGCGGCTCCGCCGCCGCGTCCTCGGACCCGTCCCCCCGACCTCCGCGGGGGAGACGGGTCGGGGCGTGCGGCGCCCGTCCCGCCCCCGGCCCGTGCCCCTCCCTCCGGTCGTCCCGCTCCGGCGGGGCGGCGCGGGGGTGCCGCCGGCCGCGCGCTCTCTCTCCCGTCGCCTCTCCCCCTCGCCGGGCCCGTCTCCCGACGGAGCGTCGGGCGGGCGGTCGGGCCGGCGCGATTCCGTCCGTCCGTCCGCCGAGCGGCCCGTCCCCCTCCGAGACGCGACCTCAGATCAGACGTGGCGACCCGCTGAATTTAAGCATATTAGTCAGCGGAGGAGAAGAAACTAACCAGGATTCCCTCAGTAACGGCGAGTGAACAGGGAAGAGCCCAGCGCCGAATCCCCGCCCCGCGGCGGGGCGCGGGACATGTGGCGTACGGAAGACCCGCTCCCCGGCGCCGCTCGTGGGGGGCCCAAGTCCTTCTGATCGAGGCCCAGCCCGTGGACGGTGTGAGGCCGGTAGCGGCCCCCGGCGCGCCGGGCCCGGGTCTTCCCGGAGTCGGGTTGCTTGGGAATGCAGCCCAAAGCGGGTGGTAAACTCCATCTAAGGCTAAATACCGGCACGAGACCGATAGTCAACAAGTACCGTAAGGGAAAGTTGAAAAGAACTTTGAAGAGAGAGTTCAAGAGGGCGTGAAACCGTTAAGAGGTAAACGGGTGGGGTCCGCGCAGTCCGCCCGGAGGATTCAACCCGGCGGCGGGTCCGGCCGTGTCGGCGGCCCGGCGGATCTTTCCCGCCCCCCGTTCCTCCCGACCCCTCCACCCGCCCTCCCTTCCCCCGCCGCCCCTCCTCCTCCTCCCCGGAGGGGGCGGGCTCCGGCGGGTGCGGGGGTGGGCGGGCGGGGCCGGGGGTGGGGTCGGCGGGGGACCGTCCCCCGACCGGCGACCGGCCGCCGCCGGGCGCATTTCCACCGCGGCGGTGCGCCGCGACCGGCTCCGGGACGGCTGGGAAGGCCCGGCGGGGAAGGTGGCTCGGGGGGCCCCGTCCGTCCGTCCGTCCGTCCTCCTCCTCCCCCGTCTCCGCCCCCCGGCCCCGCGTCCTCCCTCGGGAGGGCGCGCGGGTCGGGGCGGCGGCGGCGGCGGCGGTGGCGGCGGCGGCGGCGGCGGCGGGACCGAAACCCCCCCCGAGTGTTACAGCCCCCCCGGCAGCAGCACTCGCCGAATCCCGGGGCCGAGGGAGCGAGACCCGTCGCCGCGCTCTCCCCCCTCCCGGCGCCCACCCCCGCGGGGAATCCCCCGCGAGGGGGGTCTCCCCCGCGGGGGCGCGCCGGCGTCTCCTCGTGGGGGGGCCGGGCCACCCCTCCCACGGCGCGACCGCTCTCCCACCCCTCCTCCCCGCGCCCCCGCCCCGGCGACGGGGGGGGTGCCGCGCGCGGGTCGGGGGGCGGGGCGGACTGTCCCCAGTGCGCCCCGGGCGGGTCGCGCCGTCGGGCCCGGGGGAGGTTCTCTCGGGGCCACGCGCGCGTCCCCCGAAGAGGGGGACGGCGGAGCGAGCGCACGGGGTCGGCGGCGACGTCGGCTACCCACCCGACCCGTCTTGAAACACGGACCAAGGAGTCTAACACGTGCGCGAGTCGGGGGCTCGCACGAAAGCCGCCGTGGCGCAATGAAGGTGAAGGCCGGCGCGCTCGCCGGCCGAGGTGGGATCCCGAGGCCTCTCCAGTCCGCCGAGGGCGCACCACCGGCCCGTCTCGCCCGCCGCGCCGGGGAGGTGGAGCACGAGCGCACGTGTTAGGACCCGAAAGATGGTGAACTATGCCTGGGCAGGGCGAAGCCAGAGGAAACTCTGGTGGAGGTCCGTAGCGGTCCTGACGTGCAAATCGGTCGTCCGACCTGGGTATAGGGGCGAAAGACTAATCGAACCATCTAGTAGCTGGTTCCCTCCGAAGTTTCCCTCAGGATAGCTGGCGCTCTCGCAGACCCGACGCACCCCCGCCACGCAGTTTTATCCGGTAAAGCGAATGATTAGAGGTCTTGGGGCCGAAACGATCTCAACCTATTCTCAAACTTTAAATGGGTAAGAAGCCCGGCTCGCTGGCGTGGAGCCGGGCGTGGAATGCGAGTGCCTAGTGGGCCACTTTTGGTAAGCAGAACTGGCGCTGCGGGATGAACCGAACGCCGGGTTAAGGCGCCCGATGCCGACGCTCATCAGACCCCAGAAAAGGTGTTGGTTGATATAGACAGCAGGACGGTGGCCATGGAAGTCGGAATCCGCTAAGGAGTGTGTAACAACTCACCTGCCGAATCAACTAGCCCTGAAAATGGATGGCGCTGGAGCGTCGGGCCCATACCCGGCCGTCGCCGGCAGTCGAGAGTGGACGGGAGCGGCGGGGGCGGCGCGCGCGCGCGCGCGTGTGGTGTGCGTCGGAGGGCGGCGGCGGCGGCGGCGGCGGGGGTGTGGGGTCCTTCCCCCGCCCCCCCCCCCACGCCTCCTCCCCTCCTCCCGCCCACGCCCCGCTCCCCGCCCCCGGAGCCCCGCGGACGCTACGCCGCGACGAGTAGGAGGGCCGCTGCGGTGAGCCTTGAAGCCTAGGGCGCGGGCCCGGGTGGAGCCGCCGCAGGTGCAGATCTTGGTGGTAGTAGCAAATATTCAAACGAGAACTTTGAAGGCCGAAGTGGAGAAGGGTTCCATGTGAACAGCAGTTGAACATGGGTCAGTCGGTCCTGAGAGATGGGCGAGCGCCGTTCCGAAGGGACGGGCGATGGCCTCCGTTGCCCTCGGCCGATCGAAAGGGAGTCGGGTTCAGATCCCCGAATCCGGAGTGGCGGAGATGGGCGCCGCGAGGCGTCCAGTGCGGTAACGCGACCGATCCCGGAGAAGCCGGCGGGAGCCCCGGGGAGAGTTCTCTTTTCTTTGTGAAGGGCAGGGCGCCCTGGAATGGGTTCGCCCCGAGAGAGGGGCCCGTGCCTTGGAAAGCGTCGCGGTTCCGGCGGCGTCCGGTGAGCTCTCGCTGGCCCTTGAAAATCCGGGGGAGAGGGTGTAAATCTCGCGCCGGGCCGTACCCATATCCGCAGCAGGTCTCCAAGGTGAACAGCCTCTGGCATGTTGGAACAATGTAGGTAAGGGAAGTCGGCAAGCCGGATCCGTAACTTCGGGATAAGGATTGGCTCTAAGGGCTGGGTCGGTCGGGCTGGGGCGCGAAGCGGGGCTGGGCGCGCGCCGCGGCTGGACGAGGCGCCGCCGCCCCCCCCACGCCCGGGGCACCCCCCTCGCGGCCCTCCCCCGCCCCACCCCGCGCGCGCCGCTCGCTCCCTCCCCGCCCCGCGCCCTCTCTCTCTCTCTCTCCCCCGCTCCCCGTCCTCCCCCCTCCCCGGGGGAGCGCCGCGTGGGGGCGGCGGCGGGGGGAGAAGGGTCGGGGCGGCAGGGGCCGGCGGCGGCCCGCCGCGGGGCCCCGGCGGCGGGGGCACGGTCCCCCGCGAGGGGGGCCCGGGCACCCGGGGGGCCGGCGGCGGCGGCGACTCTGGACGCGAGCCGGGCCCTTCCCGTGGATCGCCCCAGCTGCGGCGGGCGTCGCGGCCGCCCCCGGGGAGCCCGGCGGGCGCCGGCGCGCCCCCCCCCCCACCCCACGTCTCGTCGCGCGCGCGTCCGCTGGGGGCGGGGAGCGGTCGGGCGGCGGCGGTCGGCGGGCGGCGGGGCGGGGCGGTTCGTCCCCCCGCCCTACCCCCCCGGCCCCGTCCGCCCCCCGTTCCCCCCTCCTCCTCGGCGCGCGGCGGCGGCGGCGGCAGGCGGCGGAGGGGCCGCGGGCCGGTCCCCCCCGCCGGGTCCGCCCCCGGGGCCGCGGTTCCGCGCGGCGCCTCGCCTCGGCCGGCGCCTAGCAGCCGACTTAGAACTGGTGCGGACCAGGGGAATCCGACTGTTTAATTAAAACAAAGCATCGCGAAGGCCCGCGGCGGGTGTTGACGCGATGTGATTTCTGCCCAGTGCTCTGAATGTCAAAGTGAAGAAATTCAATGAAGCGCGGGTAAACGGCGGGAGTAACTATGACTCTCTTAAGGTAGCCAAATGCCTCGTCATCTAATTAGTGACGCGCATGAATGGATGAACGAGATTCCCACTGTCCCTACCTACTATCCAGCGAAACCACAGCCAAGGGAACGGGCTTGGCGGAATCAGCGGGGAAAGAAGACCCTGTTGAGCTTGACTCTAGTCTGGCACGGTGAAGAGACATGAGAGGTGTAGAATAAGTGGGAGGCCCCCGGCGCCCCCCCGGTGTCCCCGCGAGGGGCCCGGGGCGGGGTCCGCCGGCCCTGCGGGCCGCCGGTGAAATACCACTACTCTGATCGTTTTTTCACTGACCCGGTGAGGCGGGGGGGCGAGCCCCGAGGGGCTCTCGCTTCTGGCGCCAAGCGCCCGGCCGCGCGCCGGCCGGGCGCGACCCGCTCCGGGGACAGTGCCAGGTGGGGAGTTTGACTGGGGCGGTACACCTGTCAAACGGTAACGCAGGTGTCCTAAGGCGAGCTCAGGGAGGACAGAAACCTCCCGTGGAGCAGAAGGGCAAAAGCTCGCTTGATCTTGATTTTCAGTACGAATACAGACCGTGAAAGCGGGGCCTCACGATCCTTCTGACCTTTTGGGTTTTAAGCAGGAGGTGTCAGAAAAGTTACCACAGGGATAACTGGCTTGTGGCGGCCAAGCGTTCATAGCGACGTCGCTTTTTGATCCTTCGATGTCGGCTCTTCCTATCATTGTGAAGCAGAATTCACCAAGCGTTGGATTGTTCACCCACTAATAGGGAACGTGAGCTGGGTTTAGACCGTCGTGAGACAGGTTAGTTTTACCCTACTGATGATGTGTTGTTGCCATGGTAATCCTGCTCAGTACGAGAGGAACCGCAGGTTCAGACATTTGGTGTATGTGCTTGGCTGAGGAGCCAATGGGGCGAAGCTACCATCTGTGGGATTATGACTGAACGCCTCTAAGTCAGAATCCCGCCCAGGCGGAACGATACGGCAGCGCCGCGGAGCCTCGGTTGGCCTCGGATAGCCGGTCCCCCGCCTGTCCCCGCCGGCGGGCCGCCCCCCCCCTCCACGCGCCCCGCGCGCGCGGGAGGGCGCGTGCCCCGCCGCGCGCCGGGACCGGGGTCCGGTGCGGAGTGCCCTTCGTCCTGGGAAACGGGGCGCGGCCGGAGAGGCGGCCGCCCCCTCGCCCGTCACGCACCGCACGTTCGTGGGGAACCTGGCGCTAAACCATTCGTAGACGACCTGCTTCTGGGTCGGGGTTTCGTACGTAGCAGAGCAGCTCCCTCGCTGCGATCTATTGAAAGTCAGCCCTCGACACAAGGGTTTGTCCGCGCGCGCGCGCGCGCGCGCGTGCGGGGGGCCCGGCGGGGCGTGCGCGTCCGGCGCCGTCCGTCCTTCCGTTCGTCTTCCTCCCTCCCGGCCTCTCCCGCCGACCGCGGGCGTGGTGGTGGGGGTGTGGGGGGGAGGGCGCGCGACCCCGGTCGGCGCGCCCCGCTTCTTCGGTTCCCGCCTCCTCCCCGTTCACCGCCGGGGCGGCTCGTCCGCTCCGGGCCGGGACGGGGTCCGGGGAGCGTGGTTTGGGAGCCGCGGAGGCGGCCGCGCCGAGCCGGGCCCGTGGCCCGCCGGTCCCCGTCCCGGGGGTTGGCCGCGCGGGCCCCGGTGGGGCGGCCACCCGGGGTCCCGGCCCTCGCGCGTCCTTCCTCCTCGCTCCTCCGCACGGGTCGACCAGCAGACCGCGGGTGGTGGGCGGCGGGCGGCGAGGCCCCACGGGGCGTCCCCGCACCCGGCCGACCTCCGCTCGCGACCTCTCCTCGGTCGGGCCTCCGGGGTCGACCGCCTGCCGCCCGCGGGCGTGGGACTCAGCCGGCGTCTCGCCGTGTCCCGGGTCGAACGGCGGGCCTTCTCCACCGAGCGGCGTGTAGGAGTGCCCGTCGGGACGAACCGCAACCGGAGCGTCCCCGTCTCGGTCGGCACCTCCGGGGTCGACCAGCTGCCGCCCGCGAGCTCCGGACTTAGCCGGCGCCTGCACGTGTCCCGGGTCGACCAGCAGGCGGCCGCCGGACGCTGCGGCGCACCGACGCGAGGGCGCTGATTCCCGTTCACGCGCCCGCGACCTCCACCGGCCTCGGCCCGCCGTGGAGCTGGGACCACGCGGAACTCCCTCTCCCACATTTTTTTCAGCCCCACCGCGAGTTTGCGTCCGCGGGACTTTTAAGAGGGAGTCACTGCTGCCGTCAGCCAGTAATGCTTCCTCCTTTTTTGCTTTTAGGTTTTGTCTTGCCTTTTTTTTTTTTTTTTTTCTTTCTTTCTTTCTTTCTTTCTTTCTTTCTTTCTTTCTTTCTTTCTTTCTTTCTCGCTCTCGCTCTCTCGCTCTCTCCCTCGCTCGTTTTCTTTCTCTTTCTCTTTCTCTCTCTCTCTCTCTCTCTCTCTCTCTCTCTGTCTCTCGCTCTCGCCCTCTCTCTCTCTCTCTTTCTCTCTGTCTCTCTCTGTCTCTCTCTCTCTCTCTCTCTCTCTCTCTCTCCCTCCCCCTCCCTCCCTCTCTCCCCTTCCTTGGTGCCTTCTCGGCTCTTGACACTTAGCCGCTGTCTCGCCGTGTCCCGGGTCGACCGGCGGGCCTTCTCCACCGAGCGGCGTGTAAGAGTGCCCGTCGGGACGAGCCGGACCCGCCGCGTCCCCGTCTCGGTCGGCACCTCCGGGGTCGACCAGCTGCCGCCCGCGAGCTCCGGACTTAGCTGGCGTCTGCACGTGTCCCGGGTCGACCAGCAGGCGGCCGCCGGACGCTGCGGCGCACTGACGCGAGGGCGTCGATTCCGGTTCACGCGCCGGCGACCTCCACCGGCCTCGGCCCGCGGTGGAGCTGGGACCACGCGGAACTCCCTCTCCTACATTTTTTTCAGCCCCACTGCGAGTTTGCGTCCGCGGGACTTTTAAGAGGGAGTCACTGCTGCCGTCAGCCAGTAATGCTTCCTCCTTTTTTGCTTTTTGGTTTTGCCTTGCGTTTTCTTTCTTTCTTTCTTTCTTTCTTTCTTTCTTTCTTTCTTTCTTTCTTTCTCTCTCTCTCTCTCTCTCTCTGTCTCTCTCCCCTCCCTCCCTCCTTGGTGCCTTCTCGGCTCGCTGCTGCTGCTGCCTCTGCCTCCACGGTTCAAGCAAACAGCAAGTTTTCTATTTCGAGTAAAGACGTAATTTCACCATTTTGGCCGGGCTGGTCTCGAACTCCCGACCTAGTGATCCGCCCGCCTCGGCCTCCCAAAGACTGCTGGGAGTACAGATGTGAGCCACCATGCCCGGCCGATTCCTTCCTTTTTTCAATCTTATTTTCTGAACGCTGCCGTGTATGAACATACATCTACACATACACACACACACACACACACACACACACACACACACACACACACACACACCCCCCGTAGTGATAAAACTATGTAAATGATATTTCCATAATTAATACGTTTATATTATGTTACTTTTAATGGATGAATATGTATCGAAGCCCCATTTCATTTACATACACGTGTATGTATATCCTTCCTCCCTTCCTTCATTCATTATTTATTAATAATTTTCGTTTATTTATTTTCTTTTCTTTTGGGGCCGGCCCGCCTGGTCTTCTGTCTCTGCGCTCTGGTGACCTCAGCCTCCCAAATAGCTGGGACTACAGGGATCTCTTAAGCCCGGGAGGGAGAGGTTAACGTGGGCTGTGATCGCACACTTCCACTCCAGCTTACGTGGGCTGCGGTGGGGTGGGGTGGGGTGGGGTGGGGTGGGGTGGGGTGCAGAGAAAACGATTGATTGCGATCTCAATTGCCTTTTAGCTTCATTCATACCCTGTTATTTGCTCGTTTATTCTCATGGGTTCTTCTGTGTCATTGTCACGTTCATCGTTTGCTTGCCTGCTTGCCTGTTTATTTCCTTCCTTCCTTCCTTCCTTCCTTCCTTCCTTCCCTCCTTCCTTCCTTCCTTCCCTCCCTTACTGGCAGGGTCTTCCTCTGTCTCTGCCGCCCAGGATCACCCCAACCTCAACGCTTTGGACCGACCAAACGGTCGTTCTGCCTCTGATCCCTCCCATCCCCATTACCTGAGACTACAGGCGCGCACCACCACACCGGCTGACTTTTATGTTGTTTCTCATGTTTTCCGTAGGTAGGTATGTGTGTGTGTGTGTGTGTGTGTGTGTGTGTGTGTGTGTGTGTGTGTGTATCTATGTATGTATGTATGTATGTGAGTGAGATGGGTTTCGGGGTTCTATCATGTTGCCCACGCTGGTCTCGAACTCCTGTCCTCAAGCAATCCGCCTGCCTGCCTCGGCCGCCCACACTGCTGCTATTACAGGCGTGAGACGCTGCGCCTGGCTCCTTCTACATTTGCCTGCCTGCCTGCCTGCCTGCCTGCCTGCCTGCCTGCCTGCCTGCCTATCAATCGTCTTCTTTTTAGTACGGATGTGCTCTCGCTTTATTGTCCATGCTCTGGGCACACGTGGTCTCTTTTCAAACTTCTATGATTATTATTATTGTAGGCGTCATCTCACGTGTCGAGGTGATCTCGAACTTTTAGGCTCCAGAGATCCTCCCGCATCGGCCTCCCGGAGTGCTGTGATGACACGCGTGGGCACGGTACGCTCTGGTCGTGTTTGTCGTGGGTCGGTTCTTTCCGTTTTTAATACGGGGACTGCGAACGAAGAAAATTTCCAGACGCATCTCACCGATCCGCCTTTTCGTTCTTTCTTTTTATTCTCTTTAGACGGAGTTTCACTCTTGTCGCCCAGGGTGGAGTACGATGGCGGCTCTCGGCTCACCGCACCCTCCGCCTCCCAGGTTCAAGTGATTCTCCTGCCTCAGCCTTCCCGAGTAGCTGGAATGACAGAGATGAGCCATCGTGCCCGGCTAATTTTTCTATTTTTACTACAGATGGGGTTTCTCCATCTTGGTCAGGCTGGTCTTCAACTTCCGACCGTTGGAGAATCTTAACTTTCTTGGTGGTGGTTGTTTTCCTTTTTCTTTTTTTTCTTTTCTTTTCTTTCCTTCTCCTCCCCCCCCACCCCCCCTTGTCGTCGTCCTCCTCCTCCTCCTCCTCCTCCTCCTCCTCCTCCTCCTCCTCCTCCTCTTTCATTTCTTTCAGCTGGGCTCTCCTACGTGTGTTGCTCTGTTGCTCACGCTGGTCTCAAACTCCTGGCCTTGACGCTTCTCCCGTCACATCCGCCGTCTGGTTGTTGAAATGAGCATCTCTCGTAAAATGGAAAAGATGAAAGAAATAAACACGAAGACGGAAAGCACGGTGTGAACGTTTCTCTTGCCGTCTCCCGGGGTGTACCTTGGACCCGGAAACACGGAGGGAGCTTGGCTGAGTGGGTTTTCGGTGCCGAAACCTCCCGAGGGCCTCCTTCCCTCTCCCCCTTGTCCCCGCTTCTCCCCCAGCCGAGGCTCCCACCGCCGCCCTGGCATTTTCCATAGGAGAGGTATGGGAGAGGACTGACACGCCTTCCAGATCTATATCCTGCCGGACGTCTCTGGCTCGGCGTGCCCCACCGGCTACCTGCCACCTTCCAGGGAGCTCTGAGGCGGATGCGACCCCCACCCCCCCGTCACGTCCCGCTACCCTCCCCCGGCTGGCCTTTGCCGGGCGACCCCAGGGGAACCGCGTTGATGCTGCCTTCGGATCCTCCGGCGAAGACTTCCACCGGATGCCCCGGGTGGGCCGGTTGGGATCAGACTGGACCACCCCGGACCGTGCTGTTCTTGGGGGTGGGTTGACGTACAGGGTGGACTGGCAGCCCCAGCATTGTAAAGGGTGCGTGGGTATGGAAATGTCACCTAGGATGCCCTCCTTCCCTTCGGTCTGCCTTCAGCTGCCTCAGGCGTGAAGACAACTTCCCATCGGAACCTCTTCTCTTCCCTTTCTCCAGCACACAGATGAGACGCACGAGAGGGAGAAACAGCTCAATAGATACCGCTGACCTTCATTTGTGGAATCCTCAGTCATCGACACACAAGACAGGTGACTAGGCAGGGACACAGATCAAACACTATTTCCGGGTCCTCGTGGTGGGATTGGTCTCTCTCTCTCTCTCTCTCTCTCTCTCTCTCGCACGCGCACGCGCGCACACACACACACAATTTCCATATCTAGTTCACAGAGCACACTCACTTCCCCTTTTCACAGTACGCAGGCTGAGTAAAACCCGCCCCACCCTCCACCCGTTGGCTGACGAAACCCCTTCTCTACAATTGATGAAAAAGATGATCTGGGCCGGGCACGCTAGCTCACGCCTGTCACTCCGGCACTTTGGGAGGCCGAGGCGGGTGGATCGCTTGGGGCCGGGAGTTCGAGACCAGGCTGGCCGACGTGGCGAAACCCCGTCTCTCTGAAAAATAGAACGATTAGCCGGGCCTGGTGGCGTGGGCTTGGAATCACGACCGCTCGGGAGACTGGGGCGGGCGACTTGTTCCAACCGGGGAGGCCGAGGTTGCGATGAGCTGAGATCGTGCCGTGGCGATGCGGCCTGGATGACGGAGCGAGACCCCGTCTCGAGAGAATCATGATGTTATTATAAGATGAGTTGTGCGCGGTGATGGCCGCCTGTAGTCGCGGCTACTCGGGAGGCTGAGACGAGGAGAAGATCACTTGAGGCCCCACAGGTCGAGGCTTCGGTCGGCCGTGACCCACTGTATCCTGGGCAGTCACCGGTCAAGGAGATATGCCCCTTCCCCGTTTGCTTTTCTTTTCTTCCCTTCTCTTTTCTTCTTTTTGCTTCTCTTTTCTTTCTTTCTTTCTTTCTTTCTTTCTTTCTTTTTCTTTTTCTCTCTTCCCCTCTTTCTTTCCTGCCTTCCTGCCTTTCTTCTTTTCTTCTTTCCTCCCTTCCTCCCTTCCTTCTTTCCTCCCGCCTCAGCCTCCCAAAGTGCTGGGATGACTGGCGGGAGGCACCATGCCTGCTTGGCCCAAAGAGACCCTCTTGGAAAGTGAGACGCAGAGAGCGCCTTCCAGTGATCTCATTGACTGATTTAGAGACGGCATCTCGCTCCGTCACCCCGGCAGTGGTGCCGTCGTAACTCACTCCCTGCAGCGTGGACGCTCCTGGACTCGAGCGATCCTTCCACCTCAGCCTCCAGAGTACAGAGCCTGGGACCGCGGGCACGCGCCACTGTGCCCACACCGTTTTTAATTGTTTTTTTTTCCCCCGAGACAGAGTTTCACTCTCGTGGCCTAGACTGCAGTGCGGTGGCGCGATCTTGGCTCACCGCAACCTCTGCCTCCCGGTTTCAAGCGATTCTCCTGCATCGGCCTCCTGAGTAGCCGGGATTGCGGGCATGCGCTGCCACGTCTGGCTGATTTCGTATTTTTAGTGGAGACGGGGCTTCTCCATGTCGATCGGGCTGGTTTCGAACTCCCGACCTCAGGTGATCCGCCCTCCCCGGCCTCCGGAAGTGCTGGGATGACAGGCGTGAGCCACCGCGCCCGGCCTTCATTTTTAAATGTTTTCCCACAGACGGGGTCTCATCATTTCTTTGCAACCCTCCTGCCCGGCGTCTCAAAGTGCTGGCGTGACGGGCGTGAGCCACTGCGCCTGGACTCCGGGGAATGACTCACGACCACCATCGCTCTACTGATCCTTTCTTTCTTTCTTTCTTTCTTTCTTTCTTTCTTTCTTTCTTGATGAATTATCTTATGATTTATTTGTGTACTTATTTTCAGACGGAGTCTCGCTCTGGGCGGGGCGAGGCGAGGCGAGGCACAGCGCATCGCTTTGGAAGCCGCGGCAACGCCTTTCAAAGCCCCATTCGTATGCACAGAGCCTTATTCCCTTCCTGGAGTTGGAGCTGATGCCTTCCGTAGCCTTGGGCTTCTCTCCATTCGGAAGCTTTGACAGGCGCAACCCCACCCAGAGGCTGGCTGCGGCTGAGGATTAGGGGGTGTGTTGGGGCTGAAAACTGGGTCCCCTATTTTTGATACCTCAGCCGACACATCCCCCGACCGCCATCGCTTGCTCGCCCTCTGAGATCCCCCGCCTCCACCGCCTTGCAGGCTCACCTCTTACTTTCATTTCTTCCTTTCTTGCGTTTGAGGAGGGGGTGCGGGAATGAGGGTGTGTGTGGGGAGGGGGTGCGGGGTGGGGACGGAGGGGAGCGTCCTAAGGGTCGATTTAGTGTCATGCCTCTTTCACCACCACCACCACCACCGAAGATGACAGCAAGGATCGGCTAAATACCGCGTGTTCTCATCTAGAAGTGGGAACTTACAGATGACAGTTCTTGCATGGGCAGAACGAGGGGGACCGGGGACGCGGAAGTCTGCTTGAGGGAGGAGGGGTGGAAGGAGAGACAGCTTCAGGAAGAAAACAAAACACGAATACTGTCGGACACAGCACTGACTACCCGGGTGATGAAATCATCTGCACACTGAACACCCCCGTCACAAGTTTACCTATGTCACAATCTTGCACATGTATGCTTGAACGACAAATAAAAGTTAGGGGGGAGAAGAGAGGAGAGAGAGAGAGAGAGAGAGACAGAGAGAGACAGAGAGAGAGAGAGAGGAGGGAGAGAGAAAACGAAACACCACCTCCTTGACCTGAGTCAGGGGGTTTCTGGCCTTTTGGGAGAACGTTCAGCGACAATGCAGTATTTGGGCCCGTTCTTTTTTTTTCTTCTTCTTTTCTTTCTTTTTTTTTGGACTGAGTCTCTCTCGCTCTGTCACCCAGGCTGCGGTGCGGTGGCGCTCTCTCGGCTCACTGAAACCTCTGCTTCCCGGGTTCCAGTGATTCTTCTTCGGTAGCTGGGATTACAGGCGCACACCATGACGGCCGGCTCATATTCCTATTTTCAGTAGAGACGGGGTTTCTCCACGTTGGCCACGCTGGTCTCGAACTCCTGACCTCAAATGATCCGCCTTCCTGGGCCTCCCAAAGTGCTGGAAACGACAGGCCTGAGCCGCCGGGATTTCAGCCTTTAAAAGCGCGGGCCCTGCCACCTTTCGCTGTGGCCCTTACGCTCAGAATGACGTGTCCTCTCTGCCGTAGGTTGACTCCTTGAGTCCCCTAGGCCATTGCACTGTAGCCTGGGCAGCAAGAGCCAAACTCCGTCCCCCCACCTCCCCGCGCACATAATAACTAACTAACAAACTAACTAACTAACTAAACTAACTAAATAAATAAAATCTCTACACGTCACCTCTAAGTGTGTGTTCCCGTGAGGAGTGATTTCTAAGAAATGGCACTGTACACTGAACGCAGTGGCTCACGTCTGTCATCCCGAGGTCAGGAGTTCGAGACCAGCCCGGCCAACGTGGTGAAACCCCCGTCTCTACTGAAAATACGAAATGGAGTCAGGCGCCGTGGGGCAGGCACCTGTAACCCCAGCTACTCGGGAGGCTGGGGTGGAAGAATTGCTTGAACCTGGCAGGCGGAGGCTGCAGTGACCCAAGATCGCACCACTGCACTACAGCCTGGGCGACAGAGTGAGACCCGGTCTCCAGATAAATACGTACATAAATAAATACACACATACATACATACATACATACATACATACATACATACATACATCCATGCATACAGATATACAAGAAAGAAAAAAAGAAAAGAAAAGAAAGAGAAAATGAAAGAAAAGGCACTGTATTGCTACTGGGCTAGGGCCTTCTCTCTGTCTGTTTCTCTCTGTTCGTCTCTGTCTTTCTCTCTGTGTCTCTTTCTCTGTCTGTCTGTCTCTTTCTTTCTCTCTGTCTCTGTCTCTGTCTTTGTCTCTCTCTCTCCCTCTCTGCCTGTCTCACTGTGTCTGTCTTCTGTCTTACTCTCTTTCTCTCCCCGTCTGTCTCTCTCTCTCTCTCTCCCTCCCTGTTTGTTTCTCTCTCTCCCTCCCTGTCTGTTTCTCTCTCTCTCTTTCTGTCTGTTTCTGTCTCTCTCTGTCTGTCTATGTCTTTCTCTGTCTGTCTCTTTCTCTGTCTGTCTGCCTCTCTCTTTCTTTTTCTGTGTCTCTCTGTCGGTCTCTCTCTCTCTGTCTGTCTGTCTGTCTCTCTCTCTCTCTCTCTGTGCCTATCTTCTGTCTTACTCTCTTTCTCTGCCTGTCTGTCTGTCTCTCCCTCCCTTTCTGTTTCTCTCTCTCTCTCTCTCTCTCTCCCCCTCTCCCTGTCTGTTTCTCTCCGTCTCTCTCTCTTTCTGTCTGTTTCTCACTGTCTCTCTCTGTCCATCTCTCTCTCTCTCTGTCTGTCTCTTTCGTTCTCTCTGTCTGTCTGTCTCTCTCTCTCTCTCTCTCTCTCTCTCTCTTTCTGTCTCTCACTCTCTGTGTGTATCTTCTGTCTTACTCTCCTTCTCTGCCTGTCCGTCTGTCTGTCTGTCTGTCTGTCTCTCTCTCCCTTTCTGTCTCTCTCTCTCTCTGTCCCTCTCTCTTTCTGTCTGTTCCTCTCTCTCTCTCTGTCTCTGTCTTTCTCTGTCTGTCTGCCTCTCTCTTTCTTTCTCTTTCTGTGTCTCTCTGTCTCTCTCTCTGTGCCTATCTTCTGTCTTACTCTCTTTCTCTGCCTGCCTGCCTGTCTGTCTGTCTGTCTCTCTCTGTCTCTCTCCCTGCCTTTCTGTTTCTCTCTCTCTCTCCCTCTCTCTCTCCCTCTCTCGCTCTCTCTGTCTTTCTCTCTTTCTCTCTGTTTCTCTGTCTCTCTCTGTCCGTCTCTGTCTTTTTCTGTCTGTCTCTCTCTTTCTTTCTGTCTGTCTCTGTCTCTGTCTCTCTCTCTCTCTCTGCTTGTCTCTCTCACTGTGTCTGTCCTCTGTCTTACTCTCCTTCTCTGCCTGTCCGTCTGTCTGTCTGTCTCTCTCTCTCTCCCTCCCTTTCTGTTTCTCTCTCGCTCTCTCTCTCTCTCTCTCTCTCTCTCTGCCTGTTTCTCTTTCTCTCTCTGTCTGTCTCTGTCTTTCTCTGTCTGTCTCTTTCTCTGTCTGTCTGTCTCCTTCTCTCTGTCTCCGTCTCTGTCTCTCTCTCTCTGTCTCTCTCTCTCTGCCTGTCTCACTGTGTCTGTCTTCTGTCTTATTCTCTTTCTCTGTCTGTCTGTCTCTCTCTCTCCCTTCCTGTCTCTTTCTCTCTCTCTCTCTCTCTCTTTCTGTCTGTTTCTCTCTGCCTGTCTCCGTCTTTCTCTGTCTGCCTCTCTCTTTCTTTTTCTGCGTCTCTCTGTCTCTCTCTCTCTGTGCCTATCTTCTGTCTTACTCTGTTTCTCTGCCTGCCTGTCTGTCTGTCTGTCTCTCTCTCTCTCTGTCTCTCTCTCTTTCTGTCTGTTTCTCTCTGTCTCTCTGTCCATCTCTGTCTTTCTCTGTCCGTCTCTCTCTTTCTCCCTGTCTCTGTCTCTGCCTCTGCCTCTCTCTCTCTCTGTCTCTCTCTTTCTATCTGTTTCTCTCTGTCTCTCTGTCCATCTCTGTCTTTCTCTGTCTGTCTCTCTCTTTCTCCCTGTCTCTGTCTCTGCCTCTCTCTCTCTCTCTCTGTCTGTCTCTCTCACTGTGTGTGTGTCTCTGTCTCTGCCTCTCTCTCTCTCTCTCTCTCTGTCTGTCTCTCTCACTGTGTGTGTCTGTCTTCTGTCTTACTCTCCTTCTCTGCCTGTCCGTCTGTCTGTCTGTCTCTCCCTCTCTCTCCCTCCCTTTCTGTTTCTCTCTCTCTCTCTCTCTCTTTCTGTCTGTTTCTCTCTTTCTCTCTCTGTCTGTCTCTTTCTCTGTCTGTCTGTCTCTCTCTTTCTTTTTCTCTGTCTCTCTGTCTCTCTCTGTGCCTGTCTCTCTGTCTGTGCCTATCTTCTGTCTTACTCTCTTTCTCTGGCTGACTGCCTGTCTCTCTCTCTCTCTCTCTCTCTCTCTCTCTCTGCCTGTCTCCGTCCCTCCCTCCCTGTCTGTCTGTTTCTCTCTCTGTCCATTTCTGTCTGTCTCTTTCTCTTTCTCTCTCTTTCTTTCTCTCTGTCTCTCTCTGTCTCTCTCTGTCTCTCTCTCTCTCTCTCTCTCTCTCTCTCTCTCTCTCTCTCTCTGCCTTTCTCTCTCACTGTGTCGGTCTTCTGTCTTACTCTCTTTCTCTGCCTGCCTCTCTGTCTGTCTGTCTGTCTCTCTCCCTCCATGTCTCTCTCTCTCTCTCTCTCACTCACTGTCTCTCCGTCTCTCTCTCTTTCTGTCTGTTTCTCTCTGTCTCTGTCTTTCTGTGTGTCTGTCTGTCTCTCTCTCTATTTGTCTTTCTCCCTCCCTGTCTGTTTCTCTCTCTCTCTCTCTCTCTCTCTCTCTCCCTGTCTGTCTGTTTCTCTCTATCTCTCGCTGTCCATCTCTGTCTTTCTATGTCTGTCTCTTTCTCTGTCAGTCTGTCAGACACCCCCGTGCCGGGTAGGGCCCTGCCCCTTCCACGAAAGTGAGAAGCGCGTGCTTCGGTGCTTAGAGAGGCCGAGAGGAATCTAGACAGGCGGGCCTTGCTGGGCTTCCCCACTCGGTGTATGATTTCGGGAGGTCGAGGCCGGGTCCCCGCTTGGATGCGAGGGGCATTTTCAGACTTTTCTCTCGGTCACGTGTGGCGTCCGTACTTCTCCTATTTCCCCGATAAGCTCCTCGACTTCAACATAAACGGCGTCCTAAGGGTCGATTTAGTGTCATGCCTCTTTCACCGCCACCACCGAAGATGAAAGCAAAGATCGGCTAAATACCGCGTGTTCTCATCTAGAAGTGGGAACTTACAGATGACAGTTCTTGCATGGGCAGAACGAGGGGGACCGGGGACGCGGAAGCCTGCTTGAGGGAGGAGGGGTGGAAGGAGAGACAGCTTCAGGAAGAAAACAAAACACGAATACTGTCGGACACAGCACTGACTACCCGGGTGATGAAATCATCTGCACACTGAACACCCCCGTCACAAGTTTACCTATGTCACAGTCTTGCTCATGTATGCTTGAACGACAAATAAAAGTTCGGGGGGGAGAAGAGAGGAGAGAGAGAGAGAGACGGGGAGAGAGGGGGGAGAGGGGGGGGGAGAGAGAGAGAGAGAGAGAGAGAGAGAGAGAGAGAGAGAGAGAGAGAAAGAGAAGTAAAACCAACCACCACCTCCTTGACCTGAGTCAGGGGGTTTCTGGCCTTTTGGGAGAACGTTCAGCGACAATGCAGTATTTGGGCCCGTTCTTTTTTTCTTCTTCTTCTTTTCTTTCTTTTTTTTTGGACTGAGTCTCTCTCGCTCTGTCACCCAGGCTGCGGTGCGGTGGCGCTCTCTCGGCTCACTGAAACCTCTGCTTCCCGGGTTCCAGTGATTCTTCTTCGGTAGCTGGGATTACAGGTGCGCACCATGACGGCCGGCTCATCGTTCTATTTTTAGTAGAGACGGGGTTTCTCCACGTTGGCCACGCTGGTCTCGAACTCCTGACCACAAATGATCCACCTTCCTGGGCCTCCCAAAGTGCTGGAAACGACAGGCCTGAGCCGCCGGGATTTCAGCCTTTAAAAGCGCGGGCCCTGCCACCTTTCGCTGCGGCCCTTACGCTCAGAATGACGTGTCCTCTCTGCCATAGGTTGACTCCTTGAGTCCCCTAGGCCATTGCACTGTAGCCTGGGCAGCAAGAGCCAAACTCCGTCCCCCCACCTCCCCGCGCACATAATAACTAACTAACTAACTAACTAACTAAAATCTCTACACGTCACCCATAAGTGTGTGTTCCCGTGAGGAGTGATTTCTAAGAAATGGTACTGTACACTGAACGCAGTGGCTCACGTCTGTCATCCCGAGGTCAGGAGTTCGAGACCAGCCCGGCCAACGTGGTGAAACCCCCGTCTCTACTGAAAATACGAAATGGAGTCAGGCGCCGTGGGGCAGGCACCTGTAACCCCAGCTACTCGGGAGGCTGGGGTGGAAGAATTGCTTGAACCTGGCAGGCGGAGGCTGCAGTGACCCAAGATCGCACCACTGCACTACAGCCTGGGCGACAGAGTGAGACCCGGTCTCCAGATAAATACGTACATAAATAAATACACACATACATACATACATACATACATACATACATACATACATACAGATATACAAGAAAGAAAAAAAGAAAAGAAAAGAAAGAGAAAATGAAAGAAAAGGCACTGTATTGCTACTGGGCTAGGGCCTTCTCTCTGTCTGTTTCTCTCTGTTCGTCTCTGTCTTTCTCTCTGTGTCTCTTTCTCTGTCTGTCTGTCTGTCTGTCTGTCTCTTTCTTTCTTTCTGTCTCTGTCTTTGTCCCTCTCTCTCCCTCTCTGCCTGTCTCACTGTGTCTGTCTTCTATCTTACTCTCTTTCTCTCCCCGTCTGTCTCTCTCTCACTCCCTCCCTGTCTGTTTCTCTCTCTCTCTCTTTCTGTCTGTTTCTGTCTCTCTCTGTCTGCCTCTCTCTTTCTCTATCTGTCTCTTTCTCTGTCTGTCTGCCCCTCTCTTTCTTTTTCTGTGTCTCTCTGTCTGTCTCTCTCTCTCTCTGTGCCTATCTTCTGTCTTACTCTCTTTCTCTGCCTGTCTGTCTGTCTCTCTCTGTCTCTCCCTCCCTTTCTGCTTCTCTCTCTCTCTCTCTCTCTCCCCCCTCCCTGTCTGTTTCTCTCTGTCTCCCTCTCTTTCTGTCTGTTTCTCACTGTCTCTCTCTGTCTGTCTGTTTCATTCTCTCTGTCTCTGTCTCTGTCTCTCTCTCTCTCTGTCTCTCCCTCTCTGTGTGTATCTTTTGTCTTACTCTCCTTCTCTGCCTGTCCGTCTGTCTGTCTGTCTCTCTCTCTCCCTGTCCCTCTCTCTTTCTGTCTGTTTCTCTCTCTCTCTCTCTCTCTCTCTCTCTGTCTCTGTCTTTCTCTGTCTGTCCCTTTCTCTGTCTGTCTGCCTCTCTCTTTCTCTTTCTGTGTCTCTCTGTCTCTCTCTCTGTGCCTATCTTCTGTCTTACTCTCTTTCTCTGCCTGTCTATCTGTCTGTCTCTCTCTGTCTCTCTCCCTGCCTTTCTGTTTCTCTCTCTCTCCCTCTCTCGCTCTCTCTGTCTTTCTCTCTTTCTCTCTGTTTCTCTGTCTCTCTCTGTCCGTCTCTGTCTTTTTCTGTCTGTCTGTCTCTCTCTTTCTTTCTGTCGTCTGTCTCTGTCTCTGTCTCTGTCTCTCTCTCTCTCTCTCTCCTTGTCTCTCTCACTGTGTCTGTCTTCTGTCTTACTCTCCTTCTCTGCCTGTCCATCTGTCTGTCTGTCTCTCTCTCTCTCTCCCTACCTTTCTGTTTCTCTCTCGCTAGCTCTCTCTCTCTCTGCCTGTTTCTCTCTTTCTCTCTCTGTCTTTCTCTGTCTGTCTCTTTCTCTGTCTGTCTGTCTCTTTCTCTCTGTCTCTGTCTCTGTCTCTCTCTCTCTCTCTCTCTCTCTGCCTCTCTCACTGTGTCTGTCTTCTGTCTTATTCTCTTTCTCTCTCTGTCTCTCTCTCTCTCTCCTTTCCTGTCTGTTTTTCTCTCTCTCTCTCTCTTTCTGCCTGTTTCTCTCTGTCTGTCTCTGTCTTTCTCTGTCTGTCTGCCTCTCTCTTTCTTTTTCTGCGTCTCTCTGTCTCTCTCTCTCTCTCTCTGTTCCTATCTTCTGTCTTACTCTGTTTCCTTGCCTGCCTGCCTGTCTGTGTGTCTGTCTCTCTCTCTCTCTCTCTCTCTCTCTCTCCCTCCCTTTCTCTTTCTCTGTCTCTCTCTCTCTTTCTGGGTGTTTCTCTCTGTCTCTCTGTCCATCTCTGTCTTTCTATGTCTGTCTCTCTCTTTCTCTCTGTCTCTGTCTCTGCCTCTCTCTCTCTCTCTCTCTCTCTCTCTCTCTCTCTCTGTCTGTCTCTCTCACTGTGTGTGTCTGTCTTCTGTCTTACTCTCCTTCTCTGCCTGTCCGTCTGTCTGTCTGTCTCTCCCTCTCTCTCCCTCCCTTTCTGTTTCTCTCTCTCTCTCTTTCTGTCTGTTTCTCTCTTTCTCTCTCTGTCTGTCTCTTTCTCTGTCTGTCTGTCTCTCTCTTTCTTTTTCTCTGTCTCTCTGTCTCTCTCTGTGTCTGTCTCTCTTTCTGTGCCTATCTTCTGTCTTACTCTCTTTCTCTGGCTGTCTGCCTGTCTCTCTCTCTCTGCCTGTCTCCGTCCCTCCCTCCCTGTCTGTCTGTTTCTCTCTCTGTCTCTGTCTCTCTGTCCATCTCTGTCTGTCTCTTTCTCTTTCTCTCTCTCTGTCTCTGTCTCTCTCTCTCTCTGCCTGTCTCTCTCACTGTGTCTGTCTTCTGTCTTACTCTCTTTCTCTGCCTGCCTCTCTGTCTGTCTGTCTCTCTCCCTCCATGTCTCTCTCTCTCTCTCACTCACTCTCTCTCCGTCTCTCTCTCTTTCTGTCTGTTTCTCTCTCTGTCTGTCTCTCTCCCTCCATGTCTCTCTCTCTCTCTCTCACTCACTCTCTCTCCGTCTCTCTCTCTCTTTCTGTCTGTTTCTCTCTCTGTCTGTCTCTCTCCCTCCATGTCTCTCTCTCTCCCTCTCACTCACTCTCTCTCCGTCTCTCTCTCTCTTTCTGTCTGTTTCTCTGTCTGTCTGTCTGTCTGTCTGTCTCTCTCTCTCTCTCTCTCTCTCTCTCTCTCTCTGTTTGTCTTTCTCCCTCCCTGTCTGTCTGTCTGTCTCTCTCTCTCTGTCTCTGTCTCTGTCTCTCTCTCTTTCTCTTTCTGTCTGTTTCTCTCTATCTCTCGCTGTCCATCTCTGTCTTTCTATGTCTGTCTCTTTCTCTGTCAGTCTGTCAGACACCCCCGTGCCGGGTAGGGCCCTGCCCCTTCCACGAGAGTGAGAAGCGCGTGCTTCGGTGCTTAGAGAGGCCGAGAGGAATCTAGACAGGCGGGCCTTGCTGGGCTTCCCCACTCGGTGTACGATTTCGGGAGGTCGAGGCCGGGTCCCCGCTTGGATGCGAGGGGCATTTTCAGACTTTTCTCTCGGTCACGTGTGGCGTCCGTACTTCTCCTATTTCCCCGATAAGCTCCTCGACTTCAACATAAACTGTTAAGGCCGGACGCAACACGGCGAAACCCCGTCTCTACTAAAAATACAAAGCTGAGTCGGGAGCGGTGGGGCAGGCCCCTGTAATGCCAGCTCCTCGGGAGGCTGAGGCGGGAGAATCGCTTGAACCAGGGAAGCGGAGGCTGCAGGGAGCCGAGATCGCGCCACTGCACTACGGCCCAGGCTGTAGAGTGAGTGAGACTCGGTCTCTAAATAAATACGGAAATTAATTAATTCATTAATTCTTTTCCCTGCTGACGGACATTTGCAGGCAGGCATCGGTTGTCTTCGGGCATCACCTAGCGGCCACTGTTATTGAAAGTCGACGTGACACGGAGGGAGGTCTCGCCGACTTCACCGAGCCTGGGGCAACGGGTTTCTCTCTCTCCCTTCTGGAGGCCCCTCCCTCTCTCCCTCGTTGCCTAGGGAACCTCGCCTAGGGAACCTCCGCCCTGGCGGGGGCCCTATTGTTCTTTGATCGGCGCTTTACTTTTCTTTGTGTTTTGGCGCCTAGACTCTTCTACTTGGGCTTTGGGAAGGGTCAGTTTAATTTTCAAGTTGCCCCCCGGCTCCCCCCACTACCCACGTCCCTTCACCTTAATTTAGTGAGTCGGTTAGGTGGGTTTCCCCCAAACCGCCCCCCCCCCCCCGCCTCCCAACACCCTGCTTGGAAACCTTCCAGAGCCACCCCGGTGTGCCTCCGTCTTCTCTCCCCTTCCCCCACCCCTTGCCGGCGATCTCATTCTTGCCAGGCTGACATTTGCATCGGTGGGCGTCAGGCCTCACTCGGGGGCCACCGTTTTTGAAGATGGGGGCGGCACGGTCCCACTTCCCCGGAGGCAGCTTGGGCCGATGGCATAGCCCCTTGACCCGCGTGGGCAAGCGGGCGGGTCTGCAGTTGTGAGGCTTTTCCCCCCGCTGCTTCCCGCCTCAGGCCTCCCTCCCTAGGAAAGCTTCACCCTGGCTGGGTCTCGGTCACCTTTTATCACGATGTTTTAGTTTCTCCGCCCTCCGGCCAGCAGAGTTTCACAATGCGAAGGGCGCCACGGCTCTAGTCTGGGCCTTCTCAGTACTTGCCCAAAATAGAAACGCTTTCTGAAAACTAATAACTTTGCTCACTTAAGATTTCCAGGGACGGCGCCTTGGCCCGTGTTTGTTGGCTTGTTTTGTTTCGTTCTGTTTTGTTTTGTTCGTGTTTTTCCTTTCTCGTATGTCTTTCTTTTCAGGTGAAGTAGAAATCCCCAGTTTTCAGGAAGACGTCTATTTTCCCCAAGACACGTTAGCTGCCGTTTTTTCCTGTTGTGAACTAGCGCTTTTGTGACTCTCTCAACGTGCAGTGAGAGCCGGTTGATGTTTACTATCCTTCATCATGACATCTTATTTTCTAGAAATCCGTAGGCGAATGCTGCTGCTGCTCTTGTTGCTGTTGTTGTTGTTGTTGTTGTCGTCGTTGCTGTTGTCGTTGTCGTTGTTGTTGTCGTTGTCGTTGTTTTCAAAGTATACCCCGGCCACCGTTTATGGGATCAAAAGCATTATAAAATATGTGTGATTATTTCTTGAGCACGCCCTTCCTCCCCCTCTCTCTGTCTCTCTGTCTGTCTCTGTCTCTCTCTTTCTCTGTCTGTCTTCTCTCTCTCTCTCTCTCTGTGTCTCTCTCTCTCTGCCTGTCTGTTTCTCTCTCTCTGCCTCTCTCTCTCTCTCTCTCTCTCTGCCTGTCTCTCTCACTGTGTCTGTCTTCTGTCTTACTCCCTTTCTCTGTCTGTCTGTCGGTCTCTCTCTCTCTCTCTCCCTGTCTGTATGTTTCTCTCTGTCTCTGTCTCTCTCTCTCTTTCTGTTTCTCTCTCTCCGTCTCTGTCTTTCTCTGACTGTCTCTCTCTTTCCTTCTCTCTGTCTCTCTCTGCCTGTCTCTCTCACTCTGTCTTCTGTCTTACTCTCTCTCTCTGCCTGCCTGTCTCTCTCACTCTCTCTCTCTGTGTGTCTCTCTCTCTCTTTCTGTTTCTCTCTGTCTCTCTGTCCGTCTCTGTCTTTCTCTGTCTGTCTCTTTGTCTGTCTGTCTTTGTCTTTCCTTCTCTCTGTCTCTGTCTCTCTCACTGTGTCTGTCTTCTGTCTTAGTCTCTCTCTCTCTCTCTCCCTGTCTGTCTGTCTCTCTCTCTCTCTCCCCCTGTCTGTTTCTCTCTCTCTCTCTCTCTCTCTCTCTCTCTCTGTCTTTGTCTTTCTTTCTGTCTCTGTCTCTCTCTCTCTCTCTGTGTGTCTGTCTTCTGTCTTACTGTCTTTCTCTGCCTGTCTGTCTGTCTGTCTCTCTCTGTCTGTCTCTCTCTCTCTCTCCCCCCGTCGGCTGTTTCTCTGTCTCTGTCTGTGTCTCTCTTTCTGTCTGTTTCTCTCTGTCTGTCTTTCTCTCTCTGTCTCTTTCTCTCTGTCTCTCTGTCTGTCTCTGTCTCTCTCTCTGTCTCTCTCTCTCTGTGGGGGTGTGTGTGTGTGTGTGTGTGTATGTGTGTGTGTGTGTGTGTGTGTGTGTCTGCCTTCTGTCTTACTCTCTTTCTCTGCCTGTCTGTCTGCCTGTCTGTTTGTCTCTCTCTCTCTGCCTGTCTCTCTCCCTTCCTGTCTGTTTCTCTCTCTTTCTGTTTCTCTCTGTCTCTGTCCATCTCTGTCTTTCTCCGTCTGTCTCTTTATCTGTCTCTCTCCGTCTGTCTCTTTATCTGTCTCTCTCTCTCTTTCTGTCTTTCTCTCTCTGTGTATCGTTGTCTCTCTCTGTCTGTCTCTGTCTCTGTCTCTCTGTCTCTCTCTCTCTCTCTCTCTCTCTCTGTCTGTCTGTCCGTCTGTCTGTCTCGGTCTCTGGCTCTCGCTATCTCCCGCCCTCTCTTTTTTTGCAAAAGAAGCTCAAGTACATCTAATCTAATCCCTTACCAAGGCCTGAATTCTTCACTTCTGACATCCCAGATTTGATCTCCCTACAGAATGCTGTACAGAACTGGCGAGTTGATTTCTGGACTTGGATACCTCATAGAAACTACATATGAATAAAGATCCAATCCTAAAATCTGGGGTGGCTTCTCCCTCGACTGTCTCGAAAAATCGTACCTCTGTTCCCCTAGGATGCCGGAAGAGTTTTCTCAATGTGCATCTGCCCGTGTCCTAAGTGATCTGTGACCGAGCCCTGTCCGTCCTGTCTCAAATATGTACGTGCAAACACTTCTCTCCATTTCCACAACTACCCACGGCCCCTTGTGGAACCACTGGCTCTTTGAAAAAAATCCCAGAAGTGGTTTTGGCTTTTTGGCTAGGAGGCCTAAGCCTGCTGAGAACTTTCCTGCCCAGGATCCTGTGTGACCAAAAGTGCCTCTGCTGGGAGCTGGGATCCTCGGGACCATGCTTGCTAGCGCTGGATGAGTCTCTGGAAGGACGCACGGGACTCCGCAAAGCTGACCTGTCCCACCGAGGTCAAATGGATACCTCTGCATTGGCCCGAGGCCTCCGAAGTACATCACCGTCACCAACCGTCACCGTCAGCATCCTTGTGAGCCTGCCCAAGGCCCCGCCTCCGGGGAGACTCTTGGGAGCCCGGCCTTCGTCGGCTAAAGTCCAAAGGGATGGTGACTTCCACCCACAAGGTCCCCACTGAACGGCGAAGATGTGGAGCGTAGGTCAGAGAGGGGACCAGGAGGGGAGACGTCCCGACAGGCGACGAGTTCCCAAGGCTCTGGCCACCCCACCCACGCCCCACGCCCCACGTCCCGGGCACCCGCGGGACACCGCCGCTTTATCCCCTCCTCTGTCCACAGCCGGCCCCACCCCACCACGCAACCCACGCACACACGCTGGAGGTTCCAAAACCACACGGTGTGACTAGAGCCTGACGGAGCGAGAGCCCATTTCACGAGGTGGGAGGGGTGGGGGTGGGGTGGGTTGGGGGTTGTGGGGTCTGTGGCGAGCCCGATTCTCCCTCTTGGGTGGCTACAGGCTAGAAATGAATATCGCTTCTTGGGCGGAGGGGCTTCCTTAGGCCATCACCGCTTGCGGGACTACCTCTCAAACCCTCCCTTGAGGCCACAAAATAGATTCCACCCCACCCATCGACGTTTCCCCCGGGTGCTGGATGTATCCTGTCAAGAGACCTGAGCCTGACACCGTCGAATTAAACACCTTGACTGGCTTTGTGTGTTTGTTTGTTTCTGAGATGGAGTCTTGCTCTGTCCCCCAGGCTGGAGTGCAGTGGCGTGATCTCAGCTCACTGGAACCTCTGCCTCCTGGGTTCAAGTGATTCTCCTGTCTCAGCGCCACCATGGCCGGCTCATTTTTTTTTTTTTTTTTTTTGGTAGACACGGGGTTTCACCCTCTTTCATTGGTTTTCACTGGAGATTCTAGATTCGAGCCACACCTCATTCCGTGCCACAGAGAGACTTCTTTTTTTTTTTTTTTTTTTAAGCGCAACGCAACATGTCTGCCTTATTTGAGTGGCTTCCTATATCATTATAATTGTGTTATAGATGAAGAAACGGTATTAAACACTGTGCTAATGATAGTGAAAGTGAAGACAAAAGAAAGGCTATCTATTTTGTGGTTAGAATAAAGTTGCTCAGTATTTAGAGCTACCTAAATACGTCAGCATTTACACTCTTCCTAGTAAAAGCTGGCCGATCTGAATAATCCTCCTTTAAACAAACACAATTTTTGATAGGGTTAAGATTTTTTTAAGAATGCGACTCCTGCAAAATAGCTGAACAGACGATACACATTTAAAAAAATAACAACACAAGGATCAACCAGACTTGGGAAAAAATCGAAAACCACACAAGTCTTATGAAGAACTGAGTTCTTAAAATAGGACGGAGAACGTAGCTATCGGAAGAGAAGGCAGTATTGGCAAGTTGATTGTTACGTTGGTCAGCAGTAGCTGGCACTATCTTTTTGGCCATCTTTCGGGCAATGTAACTACTACAGCAAAATGAGATATGATCCATTAAACAACATATTCGCAAATCAAAAAGTGTTTCAGTAATATAATGCTTCAGATTTAGAAGCAAATCAAATGATAGAACTCCACTGCTGTAATAAGTCACCCCAAAGATCACCGTATCTGACAAAATAACTACCACAGGGTTATGACTTCAGAATCATACTTTCTCTTGATATTTACTTATGTATGTATTTATTTTTTTTAATTTATTTCTCTTGAGACGGCGTCTCGCTCTGTCGCCCAGGCTGGAGTGCGATGGTGTGATCTCGGCTCACTGCAACCGCCACCTCCCTGGGTTCAAGCGATTCTCCTGCCTCAGCCTCCCGAGTAGCTGGGACTACAGGTGCCCGCCACCACGCCCAGCTAATCTTTATACTTTTAATAGAGACGGGGTTTCACCGTGTCGGCCCGGATGGTCTCGATCTCTTGACCTCGTGACCCGCCCGCCTCGGCCTCCCAAAGTGCTGGGATGACAGGCGTGAGCCACTGAGCCCGGCCTTCTCTTGACGTTTAAACTATGAAGTCAGTCCAGAGAAACGCAATAAATGTCAACGGTGAGGATGGTGTTGAGGCAGAAGTAGGACCACACTTTTTCCTATCTTATTCAGTTGATAACAATATGACCTAGGTAGTAATTTCCTATGTGCCTACTTATACACGAGTACAAAAGAGTAAAACAGAGAGACTGCTAAATTAAAGGGTACGTGAAGTTCTTCATAGTAACTCCGTAAACTGGAACACTGTCAAAAAGCAGCAGCTAGTGAATTGTTTCCATGTATTTTTCTATTATCCAATAAGTGAACTATGCTATTCCTTTCCAGTCTCCCAAGCACTTCTTGTCCCCATCACCACTTCGGTGCTCGAAGAAAAAGTAACAAATCAAGGAACACAACTAAAGAAACACACACACAAACCAAAGACAACTACAGCGTCTGCAAAAGTTTGCTAGAAGACTGAAACTGTTGAGTATAAGGATCTGGTATTCTACGATCATGAGTTCACTTCAGAGTTTGTTCAAGACATACGTTTCGTAAGGAAACATCTTAGTTAGAAGTTATTCAGCAGTAGGTACCATCCCTAAGTATTTTTCACCAAATTCGTGACAATAAAGAGCTATCTAACCAGAAAAATTAGCGAGTACCGGCACCATCCATAGGGCTTTGTCTTTACGCTTCATTAGCACTTACCATGCCTCACAATGTCTAGGATTGACCCTGATAGCATTTCGAAAACAAGCTAATGCTTTGTCCAGTTCTTCAGTGAAGACAAGCTCACGCCCTAATGCGCTATAGGCATAAGCATCATTTGGATCCACTTCGAGAGTTCTCTGGAAGAATTGAATCGCAATATCGTGTTCCCGTTGCAGACCGAAACAGTTCCCTGCAGCACACCAGGCCTCTGGCTGGCGAATTTTTATCCATGTCTGTGAAGTCTTTGGACAGAACTGAAAGAGCAACCTCTTTCGGAGGATGCCAAAGTGTTGTAGAGTAGATCTCCATGCCTTCGACTCTGTAATTCTCAATCCTCCTAACCTCTGAGAATTGTCTTTCAGCTTGCGTGGACTCTGAAAGTTTACAATAGGCCCTTCCGATTTGGCACAGTACCCAACCGGTATTGCAGTGGTGAGAAGCTAGATGGCTCAAGATGCTGATAGCTTCTTTGCCGTGGTAAGAACACAAAGCTAAATAACCTTTCCCCCTTTCACGAAGAAGGCTCATCAAGCCTTCCGCTGCTGCTTTTTGTAGATTAAAAGCCTGAATCTGAGGCGCGATTGCGGCTATTTCCCCTTCTGAAATGACGGAAGAGTCCAATTTTGTCACTTCCAGGCTATCACTTATGTTCGGTGGAGTTATTGCTCCTTTATTAGTTTTACTTTTGGTTCTTCTGTTTGGGATTTTAGGTGGAAACTTCATTTTTAATTTTCTCCTATTCTCCTCGGTTGTGGAGCTGTCACTAGTCAAGAGTCGTGAATTTCTTCGAGGCGGTGCATTTGGGGGAGATGCCATAGTGGGGCTCAATACCTGAGGTGTTGCCCTTGTCGGCGGACCAGAACTTTGTGTTTTTGCAAGGACTGGAGTTACCTTTCGGCTCTTTCCCCTCTGCGAGAAGACAGACGGTGTTCCGGTTTGGCCGATTCTGGCAACAGGCTTTTTTGAAGGGGCTCCGGTGGATGGCACGTCAATGACAGACGGTGTCTCATACCAGTGCAGTTTTGTCAATAGGGTCCGTCTCCGGGACTTGGGGTTTCTAATGGCAAAATGCCAACGCTTGGGGTTAATGGACTAACAGCTGCTGGTCCTCCTAATAAACTTCGACCAGTTTTTGGTTTATGTTGAACCTGTTTAGATCATATGGAAGTTCCTGTTCCCAGTGGGACAGTATCAGGTGAAAGGACAGCTGAATCGATAGAAGACACTGGGGAGTCTGTATTCAAGGAGTACTTTGAATTGGAAGATTCTAAATTCCATCCGTTTCATTCGACGGTGTCCTGGGGTGTTTCCGTAAGAACGGTCTCGGGCTGTCTGTGACATAAACTAGGACGAGGTCCAAGTGTTGTGGCGCAACACTTGGACAGGCAGTTGCTAAAGCTCTCTAGAGAGGTGAATCAAAATGTTTGGTCAGGATCTGGCTTTTCCCCCCTATTTCACATCATGATTCAAAGGGACACCAGAGGAAAGGATTTCAACGAAGGCTCTTTTGGTCACATTCTGATCCTTTGGTAAGCCGATCTGTCTTGCAATATACATGTCCCGACGATGGAAGGGGAAAGCGAGCTGAATCACCAAACTCAGGAACGATAATATCATCGTGGCTTTTCTGCTTATGAAACACTCCACCCGATAAGATTTGATCCCCTTCTGCAAGCTTGCTGAGATCAACACAACATTTCGCAAGCAGGCATTTGCATTGCGGGGTAGTACAACTGTGTCCTTTCAAGAGTCTATATGTTTTATAGGCCTTTCCTGAGCGGTAAGAACAGGTCGCCAGTAAGAACAAGGCTTCTTCTGAGTGTACTTCTGCATAAAGGCGTTCTGCGGGGGAAACCGCATCTCGGTAGGCATAGTGGTTTAGTGCTTGCCATATAGCAGCCTGGACGGGTCCCTGCAGCACCGCCATCCTCGAGGCTCAGGCCCACTTTCTGCAGTGCCACAGGCACCCCCCCCCCCCCATAGCGGCTCCGGCCCGGCCAGCCCCGGCTCATTTAAAGGCACCAGCCGCCGTTACCGGGGGATGGGGGAGTCCGAGACAGAATGACTTCTTTATCCTGCTGACTCTGGAAAGCCCGGCGCCTTGTGATCCATTGCAAACGGAGAGTCACCTCGTGTTTAGAACACGGATCCACTCCCAAGTTCAGTGGGGGGATGTGAGGGGTGTGGCAGGTAGGACGAAGGACTCTCTTCCTTCTGATTCGGTCTGCACAGTGGGGCCTAGGGCTGGAGCTCTCTCCGTGCGGACCGCTGACTCCCTCTACCTTGGGTTCCCTCGGCCCCACCCTGGAACGCCGGGCCTTGGCAGATTCTGGCCCTTCCTGGCCCTTCAGTCGCTGTCAGAAACCCCATCTCATGCTCGGATGCCCCGAGTGACTGTGGCTCGCACCTCTCCGGAAACATTGGAAATCTCTCCTCTACGCGCGGCCACCTGAAACCACAGGAGCTCGGGACACACGTGCTTTCGGGAGAGAATGCTGAGAGTCTCTTGCCGACTCTCTCTTGACTTGAGTTCTTCGTGGGTGCGTGGTTAAGACGTAGTGAGACCAGATGTATTAACTCAGGCCGGGTGCTGGTGGCTCACGCCTGTAACCCCAACACTTTGGGAGGCCGAGGCCGTAGGATCCCTCGAGGAATCGCCTAACCCTGGGGAGGTTGAGGTTGCAGTGAGTGAGCCATAGTTGTGTCACTGTGCTCCAGTCTGGGCGAAAGACAGAATGAGGCCCTGCCACAGGCAGGCAGGCAGGCAGGCAGGCAGGCAGAAAGACAACAGCTGTATTATGTTCTTCTCAGGGTAGGAAGCAAAAATAACAGAATACAGCACTTAATTAATTTTTTTTTTTCCCTTCGGACGGAGTTTCACTCTTGGTGCCCACGCTGGAGTGCAGTGGCACCATCTCGGCTCACCGCAACCTCCACCTCCCGCGTTCAAGCGATTCTCCTGCCTCAGCCTCCTGAGTAGCTGGGATTACAGGGAGGAGCCACCACACCCGGCTGATTTTGTATTGTTAGTAGAGACGGCATTTCTCCATGTGGGTCAGGCTGGTCTCGAACTGGCGACCCCAGTGGATCTGCCCGCCCCGGCCTCCCAAAGTGCTGGGGTGACAGGCGTGAGCCATCGTGACTGGCCGGCTACGTTTATTTATTTATTTTTTTAATTATTTTACTTTTTTTTAGTTTTCCATTTTAATCTATTTATTTATTTACATTTATTTATTTATTTATTTATTTACTTATTTATTTATTTTCGAGACAGACTCTCGCTCTGCTGCCCAGGCTGGAGTGCAGCGGCGTGATCTCGGCTCACTGCAAGCTCCGCCTCCCGGGTTCACGCCATTCTCCTGCCTCAGCCTCCCAAGTAGCTGGGACTACAGGCGCCCGCCACCGTGCCCGGCTAACTTTTTGTATTTTGAGTAGAGATGGGGTTTCACTGTGGTAGCCAGGATGGTCTCGATCTCCTGACCCCGTGATCCGTCCACCTCGGCCTCCCAAAGTGCTGGGATGACAGGCGTGAGCCACCGCCCCCGGCCTATTTATCTATTTATTAACTTTGAGTCCAGGTTATGAAACCAGTTAGTTTTTGTAATTTTTTTTTTTTTTTTTTTTTTTTGAGACGAGGTTTCACCGTGTTGCCAAGGCTTGGACCGAGGGATCCACCGGCCCTCGGCCTCCCAAAAGTGCGGGGATGACAGGCGCGAGCCTACCGCGCCCGGACCCCCCCTTTCCCCTTCCCCCGCTTGTCTTCCCGACAGACAGTTTCACGGCAGAGCGTTTGGCTGGCGTGCTTAAACTCATTCTAAATAGAAATTTGGGACGTCAGCTTCTGGCCTCACGGACTCTGAGCCGAGGAGTCCCCTGGTCTGTCTATCACAGGACCGTACACGTAAGGAGGAGAAAAATCGTAACGTTCAAAGTCAGTCATTTTGTGATACAGAAATACACGGATTCACCCAAAACACAGAAAGCAGTCTTTTAGAAATGGCCTTAGCCCTGGTGTCCGTGCCAGTGATTCTTTTCGGTTTGGACCTTGACTGAGAGGATTCCCAGTCGGTCTCTCGTCTCTGGACGGAAGTTCCAGATGATCCGATGGGTGGGGGACTTAGGCTGCGTCCCCCCAGGAGCCCTGGTCGATTAGTTGTGGGGATCGCCTTGGAGGGCGCGGTGACCCACTGTGCTGTGGGAGCCTCCATCCTTCCCCCCACCCCCTCCCCAGGGGATCCCAATTCATTCCGGGCTGACACGCTCACTGGCAGGCGTCGGGCATCACCTAGCGGTCACTGTTACTCTGAAAACGGAGGCCTCACAGAGGAAGGGAGCACCAGGCCGCCTGCGCACAGCCTGGGGCAACTGTGTCTTCTCCACCGCCCCCGCCCCCACCTCCAAGTTCCTCCCTCCCTTGTTGCCTAGGAAATCGCCACTTTGACGACTGGGTCTGATTGACCTTTGATCAGGCAAAAACGAACAAACAGATAAATCAATAAAATAACACAAAAGTAACTAACTAAATAAAATAAGTCAATACAACCCATTACAATACAATAAGATACGATACGATAGGATGCGATAGGATACGATAGGATACAATACAATACGATACGATACAATACAATACAATACAATACAATACAATACAATACAATACAATACAATACAATACAATACAATACAATACAATACAATACAATACAATACGCCGGGCGCGGTGGCTCATGCCTGTCATCCCGTCACTTTGGGATGCCGAGGTGGACGCATCACCTGAAGTCGGGAGTTGGAGACAAGCCCGACCAACATGGAGAAATCCCGTCTCAATTGAAAATACAAAACTAGCCGGGCGCGGTGGCACATGCCTATAATCCCAGCTGCTAGGAAGGCTGAGGCAGGAGAATCGCTTGAACCTGGGAAGCGGAGGTTGCAGTGAGCCGAGATTGCGCCATCGCACTCCAGTCTGAGCAACAAGAGCGAAACTCCGTCTCAAAAATAAATACATAAATAAATACATACATACATACATACATACATACATAAATTAAAATAAATAAATAAAATAAAATAAATAAATGGGCCCTGCGCGGTGGCTCAAGCCTGTCATCCCCTCACTTTGGGAGGCCAAGGCCGGTGGATCAAGAGGCGGTCAGACCAACAGGGCCAGTATGGTGAAACCCCGTCTCTACTCACAATACACAACATTAGCCGGGCGCTGTGCTGTGCTGTACTGTCTGTAATCCCAGCTACTCGGGAGGCCGAGCTGAGGCAGGAGAATCGCTTGAACCTGGGAGGCGGAGGTTGCAGTGAGCCGAGATCGCGCCACTGCAACCCAGCCTGGGCGACAGAGCGAGACTCCGTCTCCAAAAAATGAAAATGAAAATGAAACGCAACAAAATAATTAAAAAGTGAGTTTCTGGGGAAAAAGAAGAAAAGAAAAAAGAAAAAAACAACAAAACAGAACAACCCCACCGTGACATACACGTACGCCTCTCGCCTTTCGAGGCCTCAAACACGTTAGGAATTATGCGTGATTTCTTTTTTTAACTTCATTTTATGTTATTATCGTGATTGATGTTTCGAGACGGAGTCTCGGAGGCCCGCCCTCCCTGGTTGCCCAGACAACCCCGGGAGACAGACCCTGGCTGGGCCCGATTGTTCTTCTCCTTGGTCAGGGGTTTCCTTGTCTTTCTTCGTGTCTTTAACCCGCGTGGACTCTTCCGCTCGGGTTTGACAGATGGCAGCTCCACTTTAGGCCTTGTTGTTGTTGGGGACTTTCCTGATTCTCCCCAGATGTAGTGAAAGCAGGTAGATTTGCCTTGCCTGGACTTGCCTGGCCTTGCCTTTTCTTTCTTTCTTTCTTTATTACTTTCTCTTTTTCTTCTTCTTCTTCTTCTTCTTCTTCTTCTTCTTCTTCTTCTTCTTCTTCTTCTTCTTCTTCTTCTTCTTTTTTTTTTGAGACAGAGTTTCACTCTTGTTGCCCAGGCTAGAGGGCAATGGTGCGATCTCGGCTCACCGCACCCTCCGCCTCCCAGGTTCAAGCGATTCTCCTGCCTCAGCCTCCTGATTAGCTGGGATTACAGGCATGGGCCACCGTGCCTGGCTGATGTTTGTACTTTTAGTAGAGACGGTGTTTTTCCATGTTGGTCAGGCTGGTCTCCCACTCCCAACCTCAGGTGGTCCGCCTGCCTTAGCCTCCCAAAGTGCTGGGATGACAGGCGTGAGCCACCGCGCCCAGCCTCTCTCTCTCTCTCTCTCTCTCTCTCTCTCTCTCTCTCTCTCGCTCGCTTGCTTGCTTTCGTGCTTTCTTGCTTTCCCGTTTTCTTGCTTTCTTTCTTTCTTTCGTTTCTTTCATGCTTGCTTTCTTGCTTGCTTGCTTGCTTTCGTGCTTTCTTGCTTTCCTGTTTTCTTTTTCTTTCTTTCTTTCTTTCTTTCTTTTGTTTCTTTCTTGCTTGCTTTCTTGCTTGCTTGCTTGCTTTCGTGCTTTCTTGCTTTCCTGTTTTCTTTCTTTCTTTCTTTCTTGCTTGCTTTCTTGCTTGCTTGCTTTCGTGCTTTCTTGTTTTCTCGCTTTCTTTCTTTCTTTTGTTTCTTTCCTGCTTGCTTTCTTGCTTGATTGCTTTCGTGCTTTCTTGCTTTCTTGTTTTCTTTCTTTCTTTTGTTTCTTTCTTTCTTGCTTCCTTGTTTTCTTGCTTTCTTGCTTGCTTGCTTTCGTGCTTTCTTGTTTTCTTGCTTTCTTTCTTTTGTTTCTTTCTTGCTTGCTTTCTTGCTTCCTTGTTTTCTTGCTTTCTTGCTTGCTTGCTTTCGTGCTTTCTTTCTTGCTTTCTTTTCTTTCTTTCTTTTCTTTTTCTTTCTTTCTTGCTTTCTTTTCTTTCATTCATTCATTCTTTCTTTCTTTCCTTTCTTTCTTTCTTTCTTTCTATCTTTCTTTCTTTCTTTCTTTCTTTCTTTCTTTCTTTCTTTCTGTTTCGTCCTTTTGAGACAGAGTTTCACTCTTGTTTCCACGGCTAGAGTGCAATGGCGCGATCTTGGCTCACCGCACCTTCCGCCTCCCGGGTTCGAGCGCTTCTCCTGCCTCAGCCTCCCGATTAGCGGGGATTACAGGGAGGCACCCCCACGCCTGGCTTGGCTGATGTTTGTGTTTTTAGTAGGCACGCCGTGTCTCTCCATGTTGCTCAGGCTGGTCTCCAACTCCCGACCTCCTGTGATGCGCCCACCTCGGCCTCTCGAAGTGCTGGGATGACGGGCGTGAGCCACCGTGCCCGGCCTGTTGACTCATTTCGCTTTTTTATTTCTTTCGTTTCCACGCGTTTACTTATATGTATTAATGTAAACGTTTCTGTACGCTTATATGCAAACAACGACAACGTGTATCTCTGCATTGAATACTCTTGCGTATGGTAAATACGTATCGGTTGTATGGAAATAGACTTCTGTATGATAGATGTAGGTGTTTGTGTTATACAAATAAATACACATCGCTCTATAAAGAAGGGATCGTCGATAAAGACGTTTATTTTACGTATGAAAAGCGTCGTATTTATGTGTGTAAATGAACGAGCGTACGTAGTTATCTCTGTTTTCTTTCTTCCTCTCCTTCGTGTTTTTCTTCCTTCCTTTCTTCCTTTCTCTCCTTCTTTAGGTTTTTCTTCCTCTCTTCCTTTCCTTCTTTCTCTCTTTCTGTCCTTTTTTCCTTCGTGCTTTATTTCTCTTTCGTTCCCTGTGTTTCCTTCTTTTTTCTTTCCTCTCTGTTTCTTTTTCCCTTCTTTCCTTCGTTTCTTTCCTCATTCTTTCTCTCTTTTTCGTGTTTCTTTCCTTCCCGTCTGTCTTTTAAAAAATGGAGTGTTTCAGAAGTTTACTTTGTGTATCTACGTTTTCTAAATTGTCTCTCTTTTCTCCATTTTCTTCCTCCCTCCCTCCCTCCCTCCCTCCCTGCTCCCTTCCCTCCCTCCTTCCCTTTCGCCATCTGTCTCTTTTCCCCACTCCCCTCCCCCCGTCTGTCTCTGCGTGGATTCCGGAAGAGCCTACGCATTCTGCCTCTCCGTGTGTCTGCAGCGACCCGCGACCGAGTCCTTGTGTGTTCTTTCTCCCTCCCTCACTCCCTCCCTCCCTCCCTCCCTGCTTCCGAGAGGCATCTCCAAACACCCACGCGCCGTGGGTTGTCTTCTGACTCTGTCGCGGTCGAGGCAGAGACGCGTTTTGGGCACCGTTTGTGTGGGGTTGGGGCAGAGGGGCTGCGTTTTCGGCCTCGGGAAGAGCTTCTCGACTCACGGTTTCGCTTTCGCGGTCCACGGGCCGCCCTGCCAGCCGGATCTGTCTCGCTGACGTCCGCGGCGGTTGTCGGGCTCCATCTGGCGGCCGCTTTGAGATCGTGCTCTCGGCTTCCGGAGCTGCGGTGGCAGCTGCCGAGGGAGGGGACCGTCCCCGCTGTGAGCTAGGCAGAGCTCCGGAAAGCCCGCGGTCGTCAGCCCGGCTGGCCCGGTGGCGCCAGAGCTGTGGCGCGTCGCTTGTGAGTCACAGCTCTGGCGTGCAGGTTTATGTGGGGGAGAGGCTGTCGCTGCGCTTCTGGGCCCGCGGCGGGCGTGGGGCTGCCCGGGCCGGTCGACCAGCGCGCCGTAGCTCCCGAGGCCCGAGCCGCGACCCGCGGGGACCCGCCGCGCGTGGCGCGGGAGGCTGGGGACGCCCTTCCCGGCCCGGTCGCGGGTCCGCGCTCATCCTGGCCGTCTGAGGCGGCGGCCGAATTCGTTTCCGAGTCCCCGTGGGGAGCCGGGGACCGTCCCGCCCCCGTCCCCCGGGTGCCGGGGAGCGGTCCCCGGGCCGGGCCGCGGTCCCTCTGCCGCGATCCTTTCTGGCGAGTCCCCGTGCGGAGTCGGAGAGCGCTCCCTGAGCGCGCGTGCGGCCCGAGAGGTCGCGCCTGGCCGGCCTTCGGTCCCTCGTGTGTCCCGGTCGTAGGAGGGGCCGGCCGAAAATGCTTCCGGCTCCCGCTCTGGAGACACGGGCCGGCCCCCTGCGTGTGGCACGGGCGGCCGGGAGGGCGTCCCCGGCCCGGCGCTGCTCCCGCGTGTGTCCTGGGGTTGACCAGAGGGCCCCGGGCGCTCCGTGTGTGGCTGCGATGGTGGCGTTTTTGGGGACAGGTGTCCGTGTCGCGCGTCGCCTGGGCCGGCGGCGTGGTCGGTGACGCGACCTCCCGGCCCCGGGGGAGGTATATCTTTCGCTCCGAGTCGGCATTTTGGGCCGCCGGGTTATTGCTGACACGCTGTCCTCTGGCGACCTGTCGCTGGAGAGGTTGGGCCTCCGGATGCGCGCGGGGCTCTGGCCTACCGGTGACCCGGCTAGCCGGCCGCGCTCCTGCTTGAGCCGCCTGCCGGGGCCCGCGGGCCTGCTGTTCTCTCGCGCGTCCGAGCGTCCCGACTCCCGGTGCCGGCCCGGGTCCGGGTCTCTGACCCACCCGGGGGCGGCGGGGAAGGCGGCGAGGGCCACCGTGCCCCCGTGCGCTCTCCGCTGCGGGCGCCCGGGGCGGCCGCGACAACCCCACCCCGCTGGCTCCGTGCCGTGCGTGTCAGGCGTTCTCGTCTCCGCGGGGTTGTCCGCCGCCCCTTCCCCGGAGTGGGGGGTTGGCCGGAGCCGATCGGCTCGCTGGCCGGCCGGCCGGCCTCCGCTCCCGGGGGGCTCTTCGTGATCGATGTGGTGACGTCGTGCTCTCCCGGGCCGGGTCCGAGCCGCGACGGGCGAGGGGCGGACGTTCGTGGCGAACGGGACCGTCCTTCTCGCTCCGCCCCGCGGGGGTCCCCTCGTCTCTCCTCTCCCCGCCCGCCGGCGGTGCGTGTGGGAAGGCGTGGGGTGCGGACCCCGGCCCGACCTCGCCGTCCCGCCCGCCGCCTTCTGCGTCGCGGGGCGGGCCGGCGGGGTCCTCTGACGCGGCAGACAGCCCTCGCTGTCGCCTCCAGTGGTTGTCGACTTGCGGGCGGCCCCCCTCCGCGGCGGTGGGGGTGCCGTCCCGCCGGCCCGTCGTGCTGCCCTCTCGGGGGGTTTGCGCGAGCGTCGGCTCCGCCTGGGCCCTTGCGGTGCTCCTGGAGCGCTCCGGGTTGTCCCTCAGGTGCCCGAGGCCGAACGGTGGTGTGTCGTTCCCGCCCCCGGCGCCCCCTCCTCCGGTCGCCGCCGCGGTGTCCGCGCGTGGGTCCTGAGGGAGCTCGTCGGTGTGGGGTTCGAGGCGGTTTGAGTGAGACGAGACGAGACGCGCCCCTCCCACGCGGGGAAGGGCGCCCGCCTGCTCTCGGTGAGCGCACGTCCCGTGCTCCCCTCTGGCGGGTGCGCGCGGGCCGTGTGAGCGATCGCGGTGGGTTCGGGCCGGTGTGACGCGTGCGCCGGCCGGCCGCCGAGGGGCTGCCGTTCTGCCTCCGACCGGTCGTGTGTGGGTTGACTTCGGAGGCGCTCTGCCTCGGAAGGAAGGAGGTGGGTGGACGGGGGGGCCTGGTGGGGTTGCGCGCACGCGCGCACCGGCCGGGCCCCCGCCCTGAACGCGAACGCTCGAGGTGGCCGCGCGCAGGTGTTTCCTCGTACCGCAGGGCCCCCTCCCTTCCCCAGGCGTCCCTCGGCGCCTCTGCGGGCCCGAGGAGGAGCGGCTGGCGGGTGGGGGGAGTGTGACCCACCCTCGGTGAGAAAAGCCTTCTCTAGCGATCTGAGAGGCGTGCCTTGGGGGTACCGGATCCCCCGGGCCGCCGCCTCTGTCTCTGCCTCCGTTATGGTAGCGCTGCCGTAGCGACCCGCTCGCAGAGGACCCTCCTCCGCTTCCCCCTCGACGGGGTTGGGGGGGAGAAGCGAGGGTTCCGCCGGCCACCGCGGTGGTGGCCGAGTGCGGCTCGTCGCCTACTGTGGCCCGCGCCTCCCCCTTCCGAGTCGGGGGAGGATCCCGCCGGGCCGGGCCCGGCGTTCCCAGCGGGTTGGGACGCGGCGGCCGGCGGGCGGTGGGTGTGCGCGCCCGGCGCTCTGTCCGGCGCGTGACCCCCTCCGCCGCGAGTCGGCTCTCCGCCCGCTCCCGTGCCGAGTCGTGACCGGTGCCGACGACCGCGTTTGCGTGGCACGGGGTCGGGCCCGCCTGGCCCTGGGAAAGCGTCCCACGGTGGGGGCGCGCCGGTCTCCCGGAGCGGGACCGGGTCGGAGGATGGACGAGAATCACGAGCGACGGTGGTGCGGGCGTGTCGGGTTCGTGGCTGCGGTCGCTCCGGGGCCCCCGGTGGCGGGGCCCCGGGGCTCGCGAGGCGGTTCTCGGTGGGGGCCGAGGGCCGTCCGGCGTCCCAGGCGGGGCGCCGCGGGACCGCCCTCGTGTCTGTGGCGGTGGGATCCCGCGGCCGTGTTTTCCTGGTGGCCCGGCCGTGCCTGAGGTTTCTCCCCGAGCCGCCGCCTCTGCGGGCTCCCGGGTGCCCTTGCCCTCGCGGTCCCCGGCCCTCGCCCGTCTGTGCCCTCTTCCCCGCCCGCCGCCCGCCGATCCTCTTCTTCCCCCCGAGCGGCTCACCGGCTTCACGTCCGTTGGTGGCCCCGCCTGGGACCGAACCCGGCACCGCCTCGTGGGGCGCCGCCGCCGGCCACTGATCGGCCCGGCGTCCGCGTCCCCCGGCGCGCGCCTTGGGGACCGGGTCGGTGGCGCCCCGCGTGGGGCCCGGTGGGCTTCCCGGAGGGTTCCGGGGGTCGGCCTGCGGCGCGTGCGGGGGAGGAGACGGTTCCGGGGGACCGGCCGCGACTGCGGCGGCGGTGGTGGGGGCAGCCGCGGGGATCGCCGAGGGCCGGTCGGCCGCCCCGGGTGCCGCGCGGTGCCGCCGGCGGCGGTGAGGCCCCGCGCGTGTGTCCCGGCCGCGGTCGGCCGCGCTCGAGGGGTCCCCGTGGCGTCCCCTTCCCCGCCGGCCGCCTTTCTCGCGCCTTCCCCGTCGCCCCGGCCTCGCCCGTGGTCTCTCGTCTTCTCCCGGCCCGCTCTTCCGAACCGGGTCGGCGCGTCCCCCGGGTGCGCCTCGCTTCCCGGGCCTGCCGCGGCCCTTCCCCGAGGCGTCCGTCCCGGGCGTCGGCGTCGGGGAGAGCCCGTCCTCCCCGCGTGGCGTCGCCCCGTTCGGCGCGCGCGTGCGCCCGAGCGCGGCCCGGTGGTCCCTGCCGGACAGGCGTTCGTGCGACGTGTGGCGTGGGTCGACCTCCGCCTTGCCGGTCGCTCGCCCTTTCCCCGGGTCGGGGGGTGGGGCCCGGGCCGGGGCCTCGGCCCCGGTCGCGGTCCCCCGTCCCGGGCGGGGGCGGGCGCGCCGGCCGGCCTCGGTCGGCCCTCCCTTGGCCGTCGTGTGGCGTGTGCCACCCCTGCGCCCGCGCCCGCCGGCGGGGCTCGGAGCCGGGCTTCGGCCGGGCCCCGGGCCCTCGACCGGACCGGTGCGCGGGCGCTGCGGCCGCACGGCGCGACTGTCCCCGGGCCGGGCACCGCGGTCCGCCTCTCGCTCGCCGCCCGGACGTCGGGGCCGCCCCGCGGGGCGGGCGGAGCGCCGTCCCCGCCTCGCCGCCGCCCGCGGGCGCCGGCCGCGCGCGCGCGCGCGTGGCCGCCGGTCCCTCCCGGCCGCCGGGCGCGGGTCGGGCCGTCCGCCTCCTCGCGGGCGGGCGCGACGAAGAAGCGTCGCGGGTCTGTGGCGCGGGGCCCCGGTGGTCGTGTCGCGTGGGGGGCGGGTGGTTGGGGCGTCCGGTTCGCCGCGCCCCGCCCCGGCCCCACCGGTCCCGGCCGCCGCCCCCGCGCCCGCTCGCTCCCTCCCGTCCGCCCGTCCGCGGCCCGTCCGTCCGTCCGTCGTCCTCCTCGCTTGCGGGGCGCCGGGCCCGTCCTCGCGAGGCCCCCCGGCCGGCCGTCCGGCCGCGTCGGGGCCTCGCCGCGCTCTACCTTACCTACCTGGTTGATCCTGCCAGTAGCATATGCTTGTCTCAAAGATTAAGCCATGCATGTCTGAGTACGCACGGCCGGTACAGTGAAACTGCGAATGGCTCATTAAATCAGTTATGGTTCCTTTGGTCGCTCGCTCCTCTCCTACTTGGATAACTGTGGTAATTCTAGAGCTAATACATGCCGACGGGCGCTGACCCCCTTCGCGGGGGGGATGCGTGCATTTATCAGATCAAAACCAACCCGGTCAGCCCCTCTCCGGCCCCGGCCGGGGGGCGGGCGCCGGCGGCTTTGGTGACTCTAGATAACCTCGGGCCGATCGCACGCCCCCCGTGGCGGCGACGACCCATTCGAACGTCTGCCCTATCAACTTTCGATGGTAGTCGCCGTGCCTACCATGGTGACCACGGGTGACGGGGAATCAGGGTTCGATTCCGGAGAGGGAGCCTGAGAAACGGCTACCACATCCAAGGAAGGCAGCAGGCGCGCAAATTACCCACTCCCGACCCGGGGAGGTAGTGACGAAAAATAACAATACAGGACTCTTTCGAGGCCCTGTAATTGGAATGAGTCCACTTTAAATCCTTTAACGAGGATCCATTGGAGGGCAAGTCTGGTGCCAGCAGCCGCGGTAATTCCAGCTCCAATAGCGTATATTAAAGTTGCTGCAGTTAAAAAGCTCGTAGTTGGATCTTGGGAGCGGGCGGGCGGTCCGCCGCGAGGCGAGCCACCGCCCGTCCCCGCCCCTTGCCTCTCGGCGCCCCCTCGATGCTCTTAGCTGAGTGTCCCGCGGGGCCCGAAGCGTTTACTTTGAAAAAATTAGAGTGTTCAAAGCAGGCCCGAGCCGCCTGGATACCGCAGCTAGGAATAATGGAATAGGACCGCGGTTCTATTTTGTTGGTTTTCGGAACTGAGGCCATGATTAAGAGGGACGGCCGGGGGCATTCGTATTGCGCCGCTAGAGGTGAAATTCTTGGACCGGCGCAAGACGGACCAGAGCGAAAGCATTTGCCAAGAATGTTTTCATTAATCAAGAACGAAAGTCGGAGGTTCGAAGACGATCAGATACCGTCGTAGTTCCGACCATAAACGATGCCGACCGGCGATGCGGCGGCGTTATTCCCATGACCCGCCGGGCAGCTTCCGGGAAACCAAAGTCTTTGGGTTCCGGGGGGAGTATGGTTGCAAAGCTGAAACTTAAAGGAATTGACGGAAGGGCACCACCAGGAGTGGAGCCTGCGGCTTAATTTGACTCAACACGGGAAACCTCACCCGGCCCGGACACGGACAGGATTGACAGATTGATAGCTCTTTCTCGATTCCGTGGGTGGTGGTGCATGGCCGTTCTTAGTTGGTGGAGCGATTTGTCTGGTTAATTCCGATAACGAACGAGACTCTGGCATGCTAACTAGTTACGCGACCCCCGAGCGGTCGGCGTCCCCCAACTTCTTAGAGGGACAAGTGGCGTTCAGCCACCCGAGATTGAGCAATAACAGGTCTGTGATGCCCTTAGATGTCCGGGGCTGCACGCGCGCTACACTGACTGGCTCAGCGTGTGCCTACCCTACGCCGGCAGGCGCGGGTAACCCGTTGAACCCCATTCGTGATGGGGATCGGGGATTGCAATTATTCCCCATGAACGAGGAATTCCCAGTAAGTGCGGGTCATAAGCTTGCGTTGATTAAGTCCCTGCCCTTTGTACACACCGCCCGTCGCTACTACCGATTGGATGGTTTAGTGAGGCCCTCGGATCGGCCCCGCCGGGGTCGGCCCACGGCCCTGGCGGAGCGCTGAGAAGACGGTCGAACTTGACTATCTAGAGGAAGTAAAAGTCGTAACAAGGTTTCCGTAGGTGAACCTGCGGAAGGATCATTAACGGAGCCCGGAGGGCGAGGCCCGCGGCGGCGCCGCCGCCGCCGCGCGCTTCCCTCCGCACACCCACCCCCCCACCGCGACGCGGCGCGTGCGCGGGCGGGGCCCGCGTGCCCGTTCGTTCGCTCGCTCGTTCGTTCGCCGCCCGGCCCCGCCGGCCGCGAGAGCCGGAGAACTCGGGAGGGAGACGGGGGAGAGAGAGAGAGAGAGAGAAAGAGAAAGAAGGGCGTGTCGTTGGTGTGCGCGTGTCGTGGGGCCGGCGGGCGGCGGGGAGCGGTCCCCGGCCGCGGCCCCGACGACGTGGGTGTCGGCGGGCGCGGGGGCGGTTCTCGGCGGCGTCGCGGCGGGTCTGGGGGGGTCTCGGTGCCCTCCTCCCCGCCGGGGCCCGTCGTCCGGCCCCGCCGCGCCGGCTCCCCGTCTTCGGGGCCGGCCGGATTCCCGTCGCCTCCGCCGCGCCGCTCCGCGCCGCCGGGCACGGCCCCGCTCGCTCTCCCCGGCCTTCCCGCTAGGGCGTCTCGAGGGTCGGGGGCCGGACGCCGGTCCCCTCCCCCGCCTCCTCGTCCGCCCCCCCGCCGTCCAGGTACCTAGCGCGTTCCGGCGCGGAGGTTTAAAGACCCCTTGGGGGGATCGCCCGTCCGCCCGTGGGTCGGGGGCGGTGGTGGGCCCGCGGGGGAGTCCCGTCGGGAGGGGCCCGGCCCCTCCCGCGCCTCCACCGCGGACTCCGCTCCCCGGCCGGGGCCGCGCCGCCGCCGCCGCCGCGGCGGCCGTCGGGTGGGGGCTTTACCCGGCGGCCGTCGCGCGCCTGCCGCGCGTGTGGCGTGCGCCCCGCGCCGTGGGGGCGGGAACCCCCGGGCGCCTGTGGGGTGGTGTCCGCGCTCGCCCCCGCGTGGGCGGCGCGCGCCTCCCCGTGGTGTGAAACCTTCCGACCCCTCTCCGGAGTCCGGTCCCGTTTGCTGTCTCGTCTGGCCGGCCTGAGGCAACCCCCTCTCCTCTTGGGCGGGGGGGGGGGGGACGTGCCGCGCCAGGAAGGGCCTCCTCCCGGTGCGTCGTCGGGAGCGCCCTCGCCAAATCGACCTCGTACGACTCTTAGCGGTGGATCACTCGGCTCGTGCGTCGATGAAGAACGCAGCTAGCTGCGAGAATTAATGTGAATTGCAGGACACATTGATCATCGACACTTCGAACGCACTTGCGGCCCCGGGTTCCTCCCGGGGCTACGCCTGTCTGAGCGTCGCTTGCCGATCAATCGCCCCCGGGGGTGCCTCCGGGCTCCTCGGGGTGCGCGGCTGGGGGTTCCCTCGCAGGGCCCGCCGGGGGCCCTCCGTCCCCCTAAGCGCAGACCCGGCGGCGTCCGCCCTCCTCTTGCCGCCGCGCCCGCCCCTTCCCCCTCCCCCCGCGGGCCCTGCGTGGTCACGCGTCGGGTGGCGGGGGGGAGAGGGGGGCGCGCCCGGCTGAGAGAGACGGGGAGGGCGGCGCCGCCGCCGCCCGCGAAGACGGAGAGGGAAAGAGAGAGCCGGCTCGGGCCGAGTTCCCGTGGCCGCCGCCTGCGGTCCGGGTTCCTCCCTCGGGGGGCTCCCTCGCGCCGCGCGCGGCTCGGGGTTCGGGGTTCGTCGGCCCCGGCCGGGTGGAAGGTCCCGTGCCCGTCGTCGTCGTCGTCGTCGCGCGTCGTCGGCGGTGGGGGCGTGTTGCGTGCGGTGTGGTGGTGGGGGAGGAGGAAGGCGGGTCCGGAAGGGGAAGGGTGCCGGCGGGGAGAGAGGGTCGGGGGAGCGCGTCCCGGTCGCCGCGGTTCGCCGCCCGCCCCCGGTGGCGGCCCGGCGTCCGGCCGACCGCCGCTCCCGCGCCCCTCCTCCTCCCCGCCGCCCCTCCTCCGAGGCCCCGCCCGTCCTCCTCGCCCTCCCCGCGCGTACGCGCGCCCGCCCGCCCGGCTCGCCTCGCGGCGCGTCGGCCGGGGCCGGGAGCCCGCCCCGCGGCCCGCCCGGCCGCGCCCGTGGCCGCGGCGCCGGGGTTCGCGTGTCCCCGGCGGCGACCCGCGGGACGCCGCGGTGTCGTCCGCCGTCGCGCGCCCGCCTCCGGCTCGCGGCCGCGCCGCGCCGCGCCGGGGCCCCGTCCCGAGCTTCCGCGTCGGGGCGGGGCGGCTCCGCCGCCGCGTCCTCGGACCCGTCCCCCCGACCTCCGCGGGGGAGACGGGTCGGGGCGTGCGGCGCCCGTCCCGCCCCCGGCCCGTGCCCCTCCCTCCGGTCGTCCCGCTCCGGCGGGGCGGCGCGGGGGTGCCGCCGGCCGCGCGCTCTCTCTCCCGTCGCCTCTCCCCCTCGCCGGGCCCGTCTCCCGACGGAGCGTCGGGCGGGCGGTCGGGCCGGCGCGATTCCGTCCGTCCGTCCGCCGAGCGGCCCGTCCCCCTCCGAGACGCGACCTCAGATCAGACGTGGCGACCCGCTGAATTTAAGCATATTAGTCAGCGGAGGAGAAGAAACTAACCAGGATTCCCTCAGTAACGGCGAGTGAACAGGGAAGAGCCCAGCGCCGAATCCCCGCCCCGCGGCGGGGCGCGGGACATGTGGCGTACGGAAGACCCGCTCCCCGGCGCCGCTCGTGGGGGGCCCAAGTCCTTCTGATCGAGGCCCAGCCCGTGGACGGTGTGAGGCCGGTAGCGGCCCCCGGCGCGCCGGGCCCGGGTCTTCCCGGAGTCGGGTTGCTTGGGAATGCAGCCCAAAGCGGGTGGTAAACTCCATCTAAGGCTAAATACCGGCACGAGACCGATAGTCAACAAGTACCGTAAGGGAAAGTTGAAAAGAACTTTGAAGAGAGAGTTCAAGAGGGCGTGAAACCGTTAAGAGGTAAACGGGTGGGGTCCGCGCAGTCCGCCCGGAGGATTCAACCCGGCGGCGGGTCCGGCCGTGTCGGCGGCCCGGCGGATCTTTCCCGCCCCCCGTTCCTCCCGACCCCTCCACCCGCCCTCCCTTCCCCCGCCGCCCCTCCTCCTCCTCCCCGGAGGGGGCGGGCTCCGGCGGGTGCGGGGGTGGGCGGGCGGGGCCGGGGGTGGGGTCGGCGGGGGACCGTCCCCCGACCGGCGACCGGCCGCCGCCGGGCGCATTTCCACCGCGGCGGTGCGCCGCGACCGGCTCCGGGACGGCTGGGAAGGCCCGGCGGGGAAGGTGGCTCGGGGGGCCCCGTCCGTCCGTCCGTCCGTCCTCCTCCTCCCCCGTCTCCGCCCCCCGGCCCCGCGTCCTCCCTCGGGAGGGCGCGCGGGTCGGGGCGGCGGCGGCGGCGGCGGTGGCGGCGGCGGCGGCGGCGGCGGGACCGAAACCCCCCCCGAGTGTTACAGCCCCCCCGGCAGCAGCACTCGCCGAATCCCGGGGCCGAGGGAGCGAGACCCGTCGCCGCGCTCTCCCCCCTCCCGGCGCCCACCCCCGCGGGGAATCCCCCGCGAGGGGGGTCTCCCCCGCGGGGGCGCGCCGGCGTCTCCTCGTGGGGGGGCCGGGCCACCCCTCCCACGGCGCGACCGCTCTCCCACCCCTCCTCCCCGCGCCCCCGCCCCGGCGACGGGGGGGGTGCCGCGCGCGGGTCGGGGGGCGGGGCGGACTGTCCCCAGTGCGCCCCGGGCGGGTCGCGCCGTCGGGCCCGGGGGAGGTTCTCTCGGGGCCACGCGCGCGTCCCCCGAAGAGGGGGACGGCGGAGCGAGCGCACGGGGTCGGCGGCGACGTCGGCTACCCACCCGACCCGTCTTGAAACACGGACCAAGGAGTCTAACACGTGCGCGAGTCGGGGGCTCGCACGAAAGCCGCCGTGGCGCAATGAAGGTGAAGGCCGGCGCGCTCGCCGGCCGAGGTGGGATCCCGAGGCCTCTCCAGTCCGCCGAGGGCGCACCACCGGCCCGTCTCGCCCGCCGCGCCGGGGAGGTGGAGCACGAGCGCACGTGTTAGGACCCGAAAGATGGTGAACTATGCCTGGGCAGGGCGAAGCCAGAGGAAACTCTGGTGGAGGTCCGTAGCGGTCCTGACGTGCAAATCGGTCGTCCGACCTGGGTATAGGGGCGAAAGACTAATCGAACCATCTAGTAGCTGGTTCCCTCCGAAGTTTCCCTCAGGATAGCTGGCGCTCTCGCAGACCCGACGCACCCCCGCCACGCAGTTTTATCCGGTAAAGCGAATGATTAGAGGTCTTGGGGCCGAAACGATCTCAACCTATTCTCAAACTTTAAATGGGTAAGAAGCCCGGCTCGCTGGCGTGGAGCCGGGCGTGGAATGCGAGTGCCTAGTGGGCCACTTTTGGTAAGCAGAACTGGCGCTGCGGGATGAACCGAACGCCGGGTTAAGGCGCCCGATGCCGACGCTCATCAGACCCCAGAAAAGGTGTTGGTTGATATAGACAGCAGGACGGTGGCCATGGAAGTCGGAATCCGCTAAGGAGTGTGTAACAACTCACCTGCCGAATCAACTAGCCCTGAAAATGGATGGCGCTGGAGCGTCGGGCCCATACCCGGCCGTCGCCGGCAGTCGAGAGTGGACGGGAGCGGCGGGGGCGGCGCGCGCGCGCGCGCGTGTGGTGTGCGTCGGAGGGCGGCGGCGGCGGCGGCGGCGGGGGTGTGGGGTCCTTCCCCCGCCCCCCCCCCCACGCCTCCTCCCCTCCTCCCGCCCACGCCCCGCTCCCCGCCCCCGGAGCCCCGCGGACGCTACGCCGCGACGAGTAGGAGGGCCGCTGCGGTGAGCCTTGAAGCCTAGGGCGCGGGCCCGGGTGGAGCCGCCGCAGGTGCAGATCTTGGTGGTAGTAGCAAATATTCAAACGAGAACTTTGAAGGCCGAAGTGGAGAAGGGTTCCATGTGAACAGCAGTTGAACATGGGTCAGTCGGTCCTGAGAGATGGGCGAGCGCCGTTCCGAAGGGACGGGCGATGGCCTCCGTTGCCCTCGGCCGATCGAAAGGGAGTCGGGTTCAGATCCCCGAATCCGGAGTGGCGGAGATGGGCGCCGCGAGGCGTCCAGTGCGGTAACGCGACCGATCCCGGAGAAGCCGGCGGGAGCCCCGGGGAGAGTTCTCTTTTCTTTGTGAAGGGCAGGGCGCCCTGGAATGGGTTCGCCCCGAGAGAGGGGCCCGTGCCTTGGAAAGCGTCGCGGTTCCGGCGGCGTCCGGTGAGCTCTCGCTGGCCCTTGAAAATCCGGGGGAGAGGGTGTAAATCTCGCGCCGGGCCGTACCCATATCCGCAGCAGGTCTCCAAGGTGAACAGCCTCTGGCATGTTGGAACAATGTAGGTAAGGGAAGTCGGCAAGCCGGATCCGTAACTTCGGGATAAGGATTGGCTCTAAGGGCTGGGTCGGTCGGGCTGGGGCGCGAAGCGGGGCTGGGCGCGCGCCGCGGCTGGACGAGGCGCCGCCGCCCCCCCCACGCCCGGGGCACCCCCCTCGCGGCCCTCCCCCGCCCCACCCCGCGCGCGCCGCTCGCTCCCTCCCCGCCCCGCGCCCTCTCTCTCTCTCTCTCCCCCGCTCCCCGTCCTCCCCCCTCCCCGGGGGAGCGCCGCGTGGGGGCGGCGGCGGGGGGAGAAGGGTCGGGGCGGCAGGGGCCGGCGGCGGCCCGCCGCGGGGCCCCGGCGGCGGGGGCACGGTCCCCCGCGAGGGGGGCCCGGGCACCCGGGGGGCCGGCGGCGGCGGCGACTCTGGACGCGAGCCGGGCCCTTCCCGTGGATCGCCCCAGCTGCGGCGGGCGTCGCGGCCGCCCCCGGGGAGCCCGGCGGGCGCCGGCGCGCCCCCCCCCCCACCCCACGTCTCGTCGCGCGCGCGTCCGCTGGGGGCGGGGAGCGGTCGGGCGGCGGCGGTCGGCGGGCGGCGGGGCGGGGCGGTTCGTCCCCCCGCCCTACCCCCCCGGCCCCGTCCGCCCCCCGTTCCCCCCTCCTCCTCGGCGCGCGGCGGCGGCGGCGGCAGGCGGCGGAGGGGCCGCGGGCCGGTCCCCCCCGCCGGGTCCGCCCCCGGGGCCGCGGTTCCGCGCGGCGCCTCGCCTCGGCCGGCGCCTAGCAGCCGACTTAGAACTGGTGCGGACCAGGGGAATCCGACTGTTTAATTAAAACAAAGCATCGCGAAGGCCCGCGGCGGGTGTTGACGCGATGTGATTTCTGCCCAGTGCTCTGAATGTCAAAGTGAAGAAATTCAATGAAGCGCGGGTAAACGGCGGGAGTAACTATGACTCTCTTAAGGTAGCCAAATGCCTCGTCATCTAATTAGTGACGCGCATGAATGGATGAACGAGATTCCCACTGTCCCTACCTACTATCCAGCGAAACCACAGCCAAGGGAACGGGCTTGGCGGAATCAGCGGGGAAAGAAGACCCTGTTGAGCTTGACTCTAGTCTGGCACGGTGAAGAGACATGAGAGGTGTAGAATAAGTGGGAGGCCCCCGGCGCCCCCCCGGTGTCCCCGCGAGGGGCCCGGGGCGGGGTCCGCCGGCCCTGCGGGCCGCCGGTGAAATACCACTACTCTGATCGTTTTTTCACTGACCCGGTGAGGCGGGGGGGCGAGCCCCGAGGGGCTCTCGCTTCTGGCGCCAAGCGCCCGGCCGCGCGCCGGCCGGGCGCGACCCGCTCCGGGGACAGTGCCAGGTGGGGAGTTTGACTGGGGCGGTACACCTGTCAAACGGTAACGCAGGTGTCCTAAGGCGAGCTCAGGGAGGACAGAAACCTCCCGTGGAGCAGAAGGGCAAAAGCTCGCTTGATCTTGATTTTCAGTACGAATACAGACCGTGAAAGCGGGGCCTCACGATCCTTCTGACCTTTTGGGTTTTAAGCAGGAGGTGTCAGAAAAGTTACCACAGGGATAACTGGCTTGTGGCGGCCAAGCGTTCATAGCGACGTCGCTTTTTGATCCTTCGATGTCGGCTCTTCCTATCATTGTGAAGCAGAATTC